>NC_000014.9:72945046-73096561 GCF_000001405.40 Homo sapiens
CCACTGTACTTCAGCCTGGGCGACAGAGTAAGACTCCCTCTCAAAAAAATTAGCCCACATCCTGAGCGAGGCATGGTGCCTCACACCTGTAATCCCAGCACTTTGGGTGGCTGAGGCAGAAGGATCACTTGAGGCCAGAAGTTCAAGACCAGCCTGGACAACATAGCGAGACCGTATCTCTACAAAAAAATATAAAAGTAGCCAGGCACAGTGGTTCATGCCTGTAGTCCTAGCTGCTCAGGAGGCTGAGGAGAGAAGATCACTTGAGCCCAGGAGTTCAGGGTTATCATAAGCCATGATCATGCTACTGCACTCCAGCCTGGGTGACAACAGTGAGACCCCACCTCTTAAAAAAAAATAGCCTACATTTGAATGCAGTCTTTTTCTATTGCACGTTTTATTCAATGCAATTTTTTTTTCATGGTGGTAAAAAAAAAAAAAAATAGTGCCTATGTAATAGGAACTAGCATTTTTCCTATTGCGCCACAGCCTTCGTGATGGCACATGACACATTCCTCTGGGTGGATGCTAGGGCTCTCCCAAACCCACTTCTGAGTGAGGTCCTCATGCAGACCTCAGACTTTCTGGCCATGTCCCCTCACTGCCATTCTCATCCTTCCTCTTGAATTGTTAGATCAGACACGTGCTGGCTTTGCCCAGACATGGCTGCACTAAGTTGGGGAAAGTGAGGTCATCTCCACTCTCGCTCATGGAGAGGAACTCTCACCTAGTGAAAATGCACAGAGCATGGGGGCCAGGAGAGACGGGCAGGTCCCTCTTAGGCAGTCCACCAGGCGCAGCCTGGGACGTCACCCACTGCCCCCTTCCCTTCTCCAGGCAGATACCAACAGTGACCGGCTCTTCACAGTGAACGATGTTAAAGTTGGAGGCTCCAAGTATGGTATCATCAACCTGCA
The DNA here is from genome assembly GCF_000001405.40 of Homo sapiens. Lineage (NCBI taxonomy): Eukaryota > Metazoa > Chordata > Mammalia > Primates > Hominidae > Homo > Homo sapiens. The sequence continues at coordinate 72,945,964 of NC_000014.9, forward strand.
AAGTCTGAAGACCCCTACGCTCAAGGTGTTCATGCACGAAAACCTCTACTTCACCAACCGGAAGGTACGTTGCCCATCCCTGTAGCCTCTCTGCACACTTGACCCTGGGGGTAGTTGGCCAAATTCAGGGTAGAGGAGAGCAACTGGGGAAGAGGGCAGAGCATACTTACCTCATTTTTCCATAAGACTTGATTTTTTACTTGAGCCTAGGAGTTTCAGACCAACCTGGGCAGCATAACATGCATGGTGAAACCTTGTCTCTACAAAAAAAAAAAAAAAAAATTATTTGAGTGTGGTGGCGCGCACCTGTAGTCCCAGCTGCTTGGGGGCTCGGGGGGAGGTGAGGTGGGAAGATCACCTGAGCCCAGGAGATCAAGGCTGCAGTGAGCCATGATCGTGCCACTGCACTCCAACCTGGGTAACAGAGCGAGACCCTGTCTCAAAAAAATGGATTTATGGTTGCTGAGAACCCATAGGGAAAGAAAAGGACTCCAGGAGTTTCTTGTCTTGGAAAAGAAAGTGAAATGAGATGGTTGGGGTAGGTTGAAGCAGCGCTTGTTTAACTGGTCCTCAGGACCGTCCCTCCAGGGGTCCAGGAGTTGATCTGGAAGGGCCCACACCAGGGCACAGAGTTCCTTGGAAATGGGCGACAGTGACTGTGGCCTGCATGGGAGGGGTCCTGCCCTGTGTGTCAGAGTGATGCGTCATCCAGCCAGGCCGCAGCCAGCACTGAGGCTTAAACAAATAAGAGGAGCTTGCTGTCTAGGGAGCAACCTTTAAGTTGCAGTGGGGTGATGGCGGCATCCGTGAGAAGCTGTGACTTGCTATTCAGTTGAAGCATAAGCTGCAAGATGGATACAGGTTGAAAATGGCTTCTGGGTGAAGTGAGATACACCTTCAGAGTTCGGCTTATCTCCTGCCATTGTAGAAAATTCAGCCCTGCCCAGAGGGTATGCCAGATAGACCAGATGTCTCCCTGTGGGTCTGTTGAAGGACTCAGGCTTGAGGTTACTTCCTGTCCTGCTTAAGCCCCACCCTCAGAATGCTTGTTCCAGCCCATTTGAAGAGGAGCAGGACGTGAAGAGAGAAGTCACACGTCTGTGTCCCCACATGTTATTCCACAGGAAAGCATATTACTGTAGAATAACTTTCCATCTCGCTGTGTGCTTCCTCACCAGGTGAATTCGGTGTGCTGGGCCTCGCTGAATCACTTGGATTCCCACATTCTGTATCCTTTGGCAGAGGAAGAGGTTTGGTGGGCAGGCCACACCCTGACGTTGGACCTGGGTATCTGTGGGCTTCATGACATGGCATCTTAGTGACCAGAGGACTAGACCCTTGTGCACTTACATCTCACGCTTTAGAAAAAAAAGCAGCGTACCTGGATAGAACACAAGGATGCCCGTGGAGCACAGAGAAGCAGCTGAGGTCCCATCATGGCTGTTTCTCAAGGTGACATTGATGTCACTGTGTGGCAGACACTGTCTGGGCCTTCACATGCATGTGGTGGAGACAGAATGGGAACTCAGGCAGTCTGACTCCAAGGCCGGCTCACTCTGCCACTGTGGCGTGTGACGGGAGGCTCTGGGTTCACTACACAGACCCAGTATTCCTGCCGGAGGGCTGGTGTGGTAGCAGAGGAACAAGGCAGAAAGGAGCAGCACAGCCTTGGGGAGGAAGCCCAGCTCCTCCTGAGGCCAGGGAGGAAAACAGTGGTCAGGAGAGCAGGGTCCTCCTAGGGGAAGCTGAGGGCAAGGTCAGAGAGGGGGTTCCTTTGGCAGTGGACATGGGTCTGTGGGCTCTGGGCCTCAGGTCCCTGCTGGCAACAGCTTTTTAGAGCACTCATCACACTAGTCTCTGCCTTCCCGGAGAGCAAGCAGAGCCACTTTGCTGAGAGCACGGTAGTACAGTGTCGTGGTCCCTGGCCTCTGGGACCCTTGGGGGCTGTTGATATGGCACAAGACTTGACTCACCCAAAACCACATGTTAATGACTCTTGTCCTTGGTTCATTCTCTTATTAAATGTGTTCTGGAAACAATGTGACTACTCATTGTACCTCACACCTACTTCCTGAGTTGTGGTGAGATTAACATTAGTTAACTCCTGTGAAGGCACCTAGCAGTTTCTGGACATCATTGGTCCTCGACAAATGATAACTGAATCAGGATCTTTTTTGTAAATTTTATTTGTTTCACAGCACTGTATTTCAAAGGAGTTTTTTTGGATTTTAATTTTTTTCAGAGAAAGGGGTCTTGCCCTGTCACCCAGGCTGGAGTGCAGTGGTACAATCATAGCTCACTCCAGCCTAGAACTCCTGGGCTCAAGTGATCCTCCTGCCTTAGCCTCCCAAGTCACTGGGACTGTAGGTATGCACCACCACACCCAGCTTACATTTCAAAGGGTCATAGAGCCTAAATACATTAGCGACCTGATTATAAATTTATATAAGGCATCAAACTATGTGTGTTCTCTAAATTGCAAATTTTATGTGGCTTTCATTTGATGGGGTTCTGTAGGCCAATGGGACTGACCACATGTTACTATGATGATCTAACCAGAGGGCTAAAGAGGCCAAGCTCTGCAGAAAGCAAAAACAAGAACCTCACTCACATTTCCAGTCTTAAAACAGCATGGTATTCTCGTTTCTGTGGGCTAAGGAGAGGAAAAAAAAATCCATGTAATTGGACTTAAAGGGATGGATGGTCTGTTGTAGCTTCATCAGTGGCTCGCCCTCTGGTGGCCATTTCTGGTAGCCTTCGGGCTTTTGTGCTGAAGATTTTTTGTGCTGCTTCAGAAGTTCAGGTAACTTTTTCCCTTTAGAAAAATGGTACTTTGTTCAGACCTGCACTCTGCATTTTTCCTGCAAGAGTGGTGGGAAGTTAGATGGAATTCTTTCTACACTTATTGGGCCCTTAGTTAACCTGTGGCCTGTCAAAGGATTAAATCTTAGCCTGGCTCCGTAAGTACTCAAAGTTTGAGTATAAATAAGCTGAGATTCAGCAACAGTAACTAACATGCACATCCCACTTTCTTCACTTCCTTGCCTTCCAAACCCAGAAGCAAAATAAGTTTATTTGGTGGTGGTGTTCTCATTTACAGTTTCAGCACCTGGTATATCCTGGAGATACTTAATTTGGAGCTTACTACCCAGAGCGGTATGTCACATACACATCACATACTCAGATAGTCAAGAATGTCACCTGGCCAGGCATGGTGGCTCCCACCGGTAATCTCAGCATTTTGGGAGGCCAAAGTTGGGGGATTGCTTGAGGCCAGGAGTTTGAGACCAGCCTGGGCAATACAGAAAGACCTCTCTACAAAAAAAATAATAATAAAATTCTATTAGCTGAGCATCATGGTGCATGCCTTTAGTTCCAGGTACTCAGGAAGCTGAGGCAGGAGGATCATTTGAGCCCCAGAGTTCAAAGCTGCAGTGAGCTGTGATCACACTACTGCACTCCAGCCTGGGTGAAAGAGAGAGACCCTGTCTCTTAAAAAAGAGAAAAGTGACTGGGCACAGTGGCTCATTCCCATAATCCCAGCACTTTGGGAGGCTGAGGCAGGCGGATCACTTGAGGTCAGGAGTTCAAGACCAGCCTGGCCAACATGGTGAAACCCCATCTCTACTAAAAATACAAAAATTAGCCAGGTGTGGTGGCACGCACCCGTAATCCCAGCTATTCGGGAAGTTGAGGCAGGTGAATTGCTTGAAAACCCGGGAGACAGAGGTTGCAGTGAGCCAAGATTGCGCCACTGCACTCCAGCCTGAGCGAAAGAGCAAGACTCCATCTCAAAAAATGTATATAAAAATAAAATGTTTAAGAAGATTTTTAAAAGTTACATGATTGCTTTTCAGATATTTACATTTTCCAGTGAGGAATATGTGTGGTCATTCAGACAACACCTATCGAGTATATGCAGTTGCAAGGAGATAGAGACAGGCAGCTCCACAAGTCCTCAGTGTAGGAGGAAAGCTGCATGCAGGAGGGATTGCAGCCACCTTCCTGGAGGGAGACCCATGAGGGCAGGAAGAGGCCAGGGACCCCTAATAGGAGGAGTTGGGAGAAAGCTTGGTATGTTTGGCAGCAGTTTGATATTCATGATGTCTCTGGCTAGGGAGCAGGGCCTTTCAAGACTGAATGCTCGCTCAGGGCTGTGGGAGGTCCCAGGGGGTTGTGATTGTGGAGTCATTTTTGAAAATGATTCCTTTGGTGGCATTGTTGGGGGATAGACGGACGAGAGCAAGTCCTCAGACAGAAGCTGCTGCAAGACTAAGGGCGGTGGTGAGGGCGTGAAACGAGGTATCAGGAGTGGAGGGAAGGGCACCAAGAGGCAGGTGCAGGCTCTAGCCCGGGCATCTTGTGATAGGAGAAGGCCAGGATAGACCTCCCAGAGAGTGGTGGGTTGAGGCCAAGGAGTGTGTAGTAGAAATTGGGCTACATGGCCATAGGGCAGAACTGGAATGTTTCCATCAGATTTAGAAACCAGAGGCTCATTGAAGACTGATGAGAACATTTCTCTGGGAAGGTGAGGGTCAGGCCTGGATTTCAGTGGAGGAAAGGCAAGGGAATGAGAATAAATACAGGCTCCTCTGGAACAAAGTTTGGCTATGAGGGGAAAAGGAGAGGAACCGCGTCAGTCAAAAGACACACACGTAGGCAAGGGTATAAAGGGGCAGGTCAGAGAGGGAACTCCAACGACTATGCTCATGTGAACAGAGACACCCACATGTAGTCAGGGAAATGCAAATTTAAATAACAGTGAGGTATCACCTGGTACCCATTCAGATAAGCAGAAATTTTAAGGGCTGGTAGTGAGATATTCCATGCAATGCCATTTCTGTATGTTTTTTTTTAAACAAAAGCTGCTTTGTGTTATTTATTGACAAATATATGTAGTGGAAATACAGCATGGCTTAGAAGAACTTACACCAATTTGAGAAGAGCAGTTCTCTCTGAGTAGAGGAGAAGGGAGAATTGGACTAGGGAGGGATCAGAGAGGGCTTTTTGGGCTTTTTAATAGTATTTTATTTTTGAGACATGGTCTTACTCTGTCACCCAGGCTGGAGTGCGGTCACATGATCACAGCTCACCGCAGCCTTGACTTCCAAGGCTCAAGCAATCCTCCCACCTCAGCCTCCCAAGGAGCTGGTACTACAGGCACACACCACCACGCCCAGCTAGTTTTTGTATTTTTTGTAGAGACAAGGTTTTGCTGTGTTTCCCAGGCTGGTCTCGAACTCCTGGACTCGAGTGATCCTCCTGCCTCAGCTTCCCAAAGTGCTGGGATTACATAGGCAGGAGCCACCACACCCAGCTTTTAACTATATCTGATTTGTTTTTCCCTTTAAAAAACATCTGAAGCTGGCCAGTCACGATGGCTCACCCCTATAATCCCAGCACTTTGGGAGGCCGAGGCGGGCGGATCACGTGAGGTCGGGTGTTCGAGACGAGTCTGACCAACTTGGAGAAACCCCGTCTCTACTAAAAATACAAAATTACCCGGGCGTGGTGGCACATGCCTGTAATCCCAGCTACTCAGGAAGCCGAGGCAGGAGAATCGCTTGAACCTGGGAGGCAGAGGTTGCGGTAAGCCGAGATCGCGCCATTGCACCCCAGCCTGGGCAACAAGAGCGAAACTCCGTCTCAAAAACAAACAAACAAAAAAAAAACATCTGAAGGTAAATGTGGGCAGTGTAAACGCATGTTGAATCTGGACGGTGGGGGTTACTCTGGCCTAGGTTGTGTGCCGTATGACTTTCTGAAGGGTAAATGTCCATGCCTCCTCCCAGAGGGGAGCCTTGTGCCTAACTGTCCTTAACAGCTTTTTCCAGGCTATGCCTCATGGGACTCGCAGAGACTCCAGGCTGTGCCACCCTGCTCCCAGCATCACTGTTCGTCAATAGTCACCCAGGTACAGGGTTCTCCTCCTTTAAAGAAATCTGTCCTCTGTCTCCCGAGAGCTGTGTGGGGGTGGCTTAGAGAGAAGTATGGGGCCGCTGCAGAGGCACTGTGGGAGGATTCCCTAAGCCTGTCCCAGGGTTAGTACCAGAAGCATGTGTTTTTTTTACAGCATCTGCCCCTTTTTACCCATCTTGGGCCATTTCAGTCATTTCAGCAGCCAGAGCAGACTTAACACGCATGTAAACCAGCGTGAGCTCAGAACAGATTCGGACGCCCGTGCACATCATTCAGAAAACACCTCTGAAGGTCCAAAGCACCTCAGGTGCTATCAGGGATACTTAACAGTCTGCCTACGTTAAGGCAATTTGACTCCTCCTTCCTGACAGCATTCTGGATATTACATTTCAGTCTATCAGAAAATTAGGATCAATAAGACCAGGGTGAGAGGCCTCTTAAGAGTGTGGGCTTCAGGCAGACCTGGCACGAATCCCAGCTCTGCCCCTTGCCAACTTGAATGGAATGTTGAACCTCTCTAAAGTGGACAGGGCCTTCTCAGTCCACATCCGTGGAGAATTAGGTGAGATCATGCACATTTAGCCCAGTGCCTGGTATTTCATTGCACAGCAAGCTTATGAGGCAGGAGTGTGTCTTACCACCATTTTACAGATAAGGAAACTGAGGCAGACAGTTTCAGAATTTGTCTTACAAAAGTAATTTTTAGTGTTGGAGGTCAGGCTCACAGTACCCTTTGGGGAGGTAGTAATTGGGAAAGGGATGTGAGGGAGGCCTCTGGGGTACTGGATTGTTTTATGTCTTGTCTTGTCTTTTTTTTTTTTTTTTTTTTGAGACGGAGTTTTGCTCTTATTGCCCAGGCTGGAGTGCAATGGCACGATCTCAGCTCACCACAACCTCCGCCTCCCAGGTTCAAGCAATGCTCCTGCCTCAGCCTCCCAAGTAGCTGAGATCACAGGCGCACACCACCACGCCCGGCTAATTTTTGTATTTTTAGTAGAGACGGGATTTCACCATGTTGGTTAGGCTGGTCTCGAACTCCTGACCTCGTGATCCACCTGCCTCGGCCTCCCAAAGTGCTGGGATTACAGGTGTGAGCCACAATGCCCGGCCTTTTTTTTTTTTTTTTTTTTTTTTTGAGATGGAGTTTCACTCTTGTTGCCCAGGCTGGAGTGCAATGACACGATCTCAGTTCACCGCAACCTCCGCCTCTGGGGCTCAAGCGATTCTCCTGCCTCAGCCTCCCAAGTAGCCAGGATTACAGGCATGTACCACCACACCCGGCTGATTTTTGTATTTTTAGTAGAGATGGGATTCTCCATGTTGGTCAGGCTGGTCTCGAACTCCCGACCTCAGGTGATCCACCCGCTTCGGCCTCCTAAAGTGCTGGGATTACAGGCGTGAGCCACCACGCCTGGCATGGATTGTTTTATTTCTTAACCTGGGTGGTGGGTACATGGCTATATTTAGTTTGTGATAACTCACTGAACTGTATCCTTACAATCTGTACGTTCTATCAATGCAAAAGTTTATTTTAAAAAATATTTTTTCGAAGCACAGTGGCTCATGCCTGTAATCTCAACACTTTGGGAGGCCAAGGCAGGATAATCGTTTGAGCCCAGGAGTTCAAGACCAGCCTGAGCAACATAGCAAGACTCCAATCTCTACAAAAAATAAATAATTAGCCATGTGTGGTGGCTCACACCTGTGATCCCAGCTACTTGGGAGGCTGAGATGGGAGGATTCCTTGAGCCTGGGAGGTTGAGGATGCATTGAGCCATGATCACGCCACTGCACTCCAGACTGGGCAAAAGAACAAGACCCTGTCTTAAAAAAAAAAAAAAAAAAAAAAAATATATATATATATATATATATATATATATAGTTTATTTATTTATTTATTTGTGTGTGTGTGTGTGTGTGTGTGTGTGTGTGTGTGTGTGTGTGTGTATATACACACACACTTGCCTGAGATCACATAGCTGGTAGGTGATCGAGGATCGGAGCCACCTTACCTCCAACAGTATACTACCTCCCTGATATCAGTACTATTCGTACTGTAAACACGACTACTGGGAACGTTAACAAAGATGCATTTTCGGAATAACCACTTGTGAGCCAGGCATCCCAGCTGAGTCTCTCTTGCAACCACAAAACCCAGAATGGGGCCAAAGGTATAGACCCTCTGAGCAGCTATGGGCATATTTGGATGTTTTCCGAACCCAGTGGTCCCTGGCCTGCCTAGAAGGCAGCCACACTTTACATTCTCCTATCCCCTTAGCAGGAATAGACCGGCCTGGCATGCTCTGCAGTTTCCGGATCCCTGGTGCCTGGTCCTGTGCCTGGTCCCTGAATATCCAAGCAAATAACTGCTTCAGTACAGGTGAGCCTGGCTCCCCAGGTGCCCAGAGAAGAGGCCTTAACAGGCCTTAAAACCCCATGTAGTTGTCCCTCTCCCCAGACTACATGTGACATAATCTTACCAGCCCATCTCTGTCTCCGCCAGGCTTGTCTCGGCGGGTCCTGTTGACCAACGTGGTGACGGGACACCGGCAGTCCTTTGGGACCAACAGTGATGTCTTGGCCCAGCAGTTTGCTCTCATGGTTGGTTGGATTGGGACAGGCAGAATATAAAAGTTTGCCCCATGTAGAAATTTGGCCAGATTGAAATTGGACTCCTCTGTGTGCCATCTAGTACTCTTTGACAGGGGAGAAAGAGCATCAGAAAGGATCAGTGGGTTCCTTTGTAAGGGTGTCTGAGCCGAGTGAAAGTTGGTTGATCCAGAAAGGCTGGCCTGAGTTGCTCTACACAACCTCTCATGGAAAGGTATTGTGAGCAGTTCTTGGGTACTTGGATTTACCCAGTAGGACAAACCATTTTTAAAATGTATAAGCCAAACACCAATTCTTCACAGCTCCCAGGTTATATATTTTATATGTTTAAAAAATCAGGCCAGGTACAGTGGCTAATGAATGGCTGTAATCCCAACACTTTGGGAGGCCAAGATGGGTGGATCACAAGGTCAGGAGTTCAAAACCAGCCTAGCCAAGATGGTGAAACCCCTTCTCTACTAAAAATACGAAAGTTAGCCAGGCATAGTGCTGGGCGCCTGTAATCCCAGCTGCTCGAGAGACTGAGGAGAATTGCCTGAACCCGGGAGGCGGAGGTTGCAGTGAGCCAAGATCACACCACTGCACTCCAGCCTGGGCAACAGAGCAAGACTCTGTCTCAAAAAAAAAAAAAAATTGTGGTCATTACTATATTTCACAGACTTTTCTCTAGAAAATGCCGTCTTCCCTTAAAAGTGAATGAACCCACTAACCTGCTTTTGGTGGAGATGGAATGCTATCTCTGGGACTTCAGAGAGAAAGGCCAAACGGGACAGTGCAGGGGGGTGGGGGGCAGCTCCTAGGACCTCCGTGCTACCCATGAGGAGGACACATGGGGTCTGGTTCTTCTAGCCACTAACAAGGAATCATCCTCCCTTCCAACTCCATTGAGACCCAAACCCTGACCAGCACGTGTCTAATCACACCGTCTGACCCAGAGGCTGGAAGAGGGGTTGTATCAGGAGGACCTGCCCTGCCCAGCCTCAGAGGGATGTCATGATAGCCAGGCACTGAGCAGTCCCTCTTTCCACAGGCTCCTCTGCTGTTTAATGGCTGCCGCTCTGGGGAAATCTTTGCCATTGATCTGCGTTGTGGAAATCAAGGCAAGGGATGGAAGGCCACCCGCCTGTTTCATGATTCAGCAGTGACCTCTGTGCGGATCCTCCAAGATGAGCAATACCTGATGGCTTCAGACATGGCTGGAAAGGTAGGGGATCATGGACTTTCTCAGGCCACAGGGTCTCGTGGCCCAGTGCCCTGCCAGGTGAAAGGGTTCTGCTGAAGAGGTCCTCACACCAAGACCCCAGGCAGGGGAATTTCGCTGAAGACCAAGTGATTTGTAGGCCCTGCATGGGGACTGCTTCGTTGACCATATGAGCCTAATCTGACGTAAACAAAAGTGAAAAGGATTCTCTGGTTATGTCCTTTTTTTTTTTTTTTTTTTTTTTTTTGAGATGGAGTCTTGCTCTGTCGCCCGGGCTGGAGTGCAGTGGTACTATCTTGGCTTACTGCAACCTCTGTCTCTCAGGTTCAAGCGATTCTCCTGCCTCAGCCTCCTGAGTAGCTGGGATTACAGGTACCCGCCACTGCGCCCGGCTAATTTTTGTATTTTTAGTAGAGATGGGGTTTCACCATGTTGGTCAGGCTGGTCTCGAACTCCTGACCTCATGATCTGCCCACCTTGGCCTCCCATAGTGCTGGGATTACAGGCATGAGCCACCGTGCCCGGCCTGGTTACATGCTTTTGATGAACAACAAGGCTCAAGAATTCGAGATGGAGATCTTCATGACCTGCACAGGCCACTGGAGACCACCTTGCCTTCCTGGCTTTGCACTTGGGGACCACCATGGTACCCCCTGGCCCCTCCCTGATGGCCCCTGGTGCTTTTTCCACAGATCAAGCTGTGGGACCTGAGGACCACGAAGTGCGTAAGGCAGTACGAAGGCCACGTGAATGAGTACGCCTACCTGCCCCTGCATGTGCACGAGGAAGAAGGAATCCTGGTGGCAGGTACTTGAGGAAGGAAGGGGAAGTTCCACCCCATCAAATACTGTCTCTCAGGGGCGATCCCAGCAACTTCAGCAGCAGAGGGAAAAGTTACCCCAAAACAGAACTGAATCAAGGGGAGTGTGGACAGCTGGGTGGGGAGACTAGGAGGGAAGTAGAATTAGATTATATTAGTAATCAGGAGTGTAAATAAATGTCCACCAGGTGGACAGCCTCATCCCATGTCAGTGGGCAAACGTCACTTCAGAAACAGGCAGGTGGGGAGGTCCTGGGGAGCCTGGGTTTGGAGTTTGAGTGGATTTCATCAGGCCAGCATTATTCCACCACGCAACTATCTTATCCAAAAACTTGGGCTCCCTGTTGTCTCTACTCACATTTCCACCAGAGGATGCTGAGAAAAGAAGTTATGGTCATTGTAAAGATTCTTGGCCCCGGCCCGGCGCGGTGGCTCACGCCCGTAATCCCAACACTTTGGGAGGCCAAGGAGGGTGGATCACGAGGTCAGGAGATTGAGACCATCCTGGCCAACATGGTGAAACCCCATCTCTACTAAAATACAAAAATTAACTGGGCATGGTGGCACCTGCCTGTAATCTCTCAGCTACTCGGAAGTCAGAAGCAGGAGAATTGCTTGGACCAGGAAGTCGGAGGTTGCAGTGAGCCGATATCACGCCACTGCACTCCAGCCTGGCAACAGAGCGAGACTCCGTCTCAAAATAAATAAATAAATAAAAAAGATTTGTGGCCCCTTTACTACCATCCCTGTGGCTCCATGATCTGCAGATTAGGAGCAGCTATCTGGCCACTAAGCCCCCTGGAAGGGAGTTACCAGTTGATTACAGATGATGGTGGCTATAGCGTAATCAGACAGTGTGCAGGCTCAATGCTTTCACACTGAAATAGTAGCTGCTGACACTGCAGAATGTGTTCTCAGTCTTCAAGAATTGTCACCTCTACTGGTATTCCTATAGAAAGGGCTTATACCCCATGGAACATTTTTGTGGCTAGGAAGCATTACTTTGTTAGGACATTCATAGACTTATTTACTATTCTCATCAACACCAGGACTTCGCCTCCTTTTTAAGTCGATTTTTCACCTGTTTTTATCACAGAAGAGCTCTTGTGAGCTGGATGATAGAGAGAGCTCAGCCTTGCTGAGAGGCAGATGCAGGTAGTTACCAGCTGCAGTAATAAACTGCAGCCGGGATTCAGCTTCAGCCAAGATAGCACTTCTGGTCTTAGAGCCACACAAGTGATCAGAATCACAAATGTGAAATCCATGACTGCCCAAGGCCTGTCCTCTTCTCCTGCTGAAGGTCTCCAGTAGTGTATATCATGTTTCTGGGCTGCTGTAACCCATGCTGTTGTGTGTCACAGTCCTCAGAACTGGAGCCCTGAAGACTTAAACCGGTCCTAGGAACTGAAGCATTAAACCAGAAAGAGCTGTGGGGAGAGTTGTCAACCTAGCCCATCCCCAGGATGTAATGACTTTGACAGATCTTTTACTATAACATGAAAAGATCAGGCCAGGTGTGGTAGCTATAATTCCAGCACTTAGGGAGCTTGAGGCCAGGAGTTTAAGACCAGCTGGGGCAACACAGCAAGACCCTATCTCAAAAAAAAAAAAAATTAGGCATGGCGGCACACACTTGTAGTCCCAGTTAACTCAGGAGGCTGAGGCAGAAGGATGGCTTGGGCCCAGGAGTTCAAGGCTGCAGTGAGCCCTGATCACACCACTGCACTCCAGCCCGGGCGACAGAGCAAGACCCTGTCCCTAAAAAATGGGGGAAATCAGTTGCATGTCACCTAGACCAGGTGGGCCACACTCGCACTTGAACGTTCCGTGACATCAAGAGCAGCAGAATACCCAGACATTAGCCAGGATGTCTCCGAGCCATTCATGGCATCACACAGCCAACCAGGGCATCTTGTCATTGTTCTAGCACAACAGGGCGACTTGGGTTATCCGTAGAAATACTGTCCGTTAATGAGTTTGTGTTTTGGCTCACATGAAATCACAGCCCTGAGGAATCTTGGGAAGCCATGTCCACATGTAGGTAAGTTTTCCTTTGCATTCTCTCACTAGCCTGCCATGTGTCTCTCCTCTTTCCTAGTGGGCCAGGACTGCTACACGAGAATCTGGAGCCTCCACGATGCCCGCCTACTGAGAACCATACCCTCCCCGTACCCTGCCTCCAAGGCCGACATTCCCAGTGTGGCCTTCTCGTCGCGGCTGGGGGGCTCCCGGGGCGCGCCGGGGCTGCTCATGGCTGTCGGGCAGGACCTTTACTGTTACTCCTACAGCTAATTCTGCAGGGCACAGCCCAGAGCCATGTGGATTTGACTTACGGGAGTAAAGCGTAACTTTTTACTGCATCTAATGAGGGTGTTTTAAGTGACACTCAGTGTACACAGATCCCATCCTCTGGCTGCTAGGAGAGAAGTGCTGAATGTTCCGTGTGGAGATGCTCAGGAAAGTTATTTGAGTTAAATTGCTGGCTGAGAGAGCTTGGAAGTCCTTTTCATAAAAGGTACCTCTTTCCTTTTCTTATTGAATTCTTAGAACTTAGTTAACCCTCCCTGCCTTTTCTTAACAAAAAGGACTTTTCTAAGGACTGAAGATTGGCAAAAACGAAAAGCTTCTTCCTCCAAGAGCCCATTGAAGAAGCCCAGTGATGAGACGGTGAGATGGTTTGAGTCCTCGGTGCCTGGGTAGCAGGAAGAAAGACCTGCATCCTGCATCTGTACTTGGGGAAGCCAGCGGAGAGGACGGGGAGGTTACTTCTCTAAGTTTCTGCAGAAATATTGAAGGCTGGAGTTTGGAATCCTTAAACTTGGCCTTCTCAAACTCAGCAGCAGATCTCCGGGATTCTGCTGTTATTATCCAAAGGCGTTGGAAGGAAAGATGGATCTTCTTACATGCTAGAAGTTTTAAACGGTCCTTAACATGCCTTTGTTCAAGCACCTTCCAGAATGTAAGGTTCAGCAGCTCTGGTTTCTATTACGGTGACTTGAATGTCAGATTCAAGGGCCCGGCGTCAAAGGAAATTGGTTTTGACTTTTTGTAATCTAGGAGCGACAGTTCGTGAGATGTTTATTCAGTGTTAAAGAGCCTGTTTTTCTACCAAACAATAAAACCAAGAGAAGAATCATGGTGTGACATGCACTTCTGTGAATGACTTAGGAGATCATGAGCTTGGGCTGCTGGGACCAGCTTTCATAGCCTTCCTGGAGAGCTTCCCTGGGCCCCTCCAGACCCACTCTGCCCTCATCATCTGTCCATCTCCACCCTGCTCTGTGCATGCCCAAAAGACTCACCTCTGGACTAGGTCAGGGTTCCCTGGCTCCCAGCAGCTAGGTAGGTTCAGCCAGTGGGAAGCAGCAGTAGAACACAGAGGGCAAGAGGAGAGGGAGTGGTTCCCCGGCTCCCTTCTGGTTGGGCTGTGGGTGGCTGTAACCAAAACCCACCACTTCTATTGGAAAGCGCTCAGAGAGAGCCGGGTTCCAGCAACTCTTCATTTGTCCCTTCAGACCTACAGCTGGTCATCACACCTCACTGTTGCTGGCCCAGAATGCCTCACTAGGTAGACTCGCAGTTACCCACTTGAATGTTTCCTGCCAGTACCCTGACTAATACAGCATATTCTATAAAGAACCAAATTTTTTTTTTTTTTTTGAGATGGTGTTTTATACTTGTTGCCCAGGCTGGAGTGCAATGGCGCTCTCACCGCACCCTCCACCTCCTGGGTTCTAGTGATTCTCCTGCCTCAGCCTCCCGAGTAGGTTGGATTATAGGCGCGTGCCACCACGCCTGGCTAATTTTGTATTTTTAGTAGAGATGGGGGTTTCTACATGTTGGTCAGGCTGGCCTCAAACTCCTGACCTCAGGTGATCTGCCCGCCTCAGCCTCCCAAAGTGCTGGGATTATAGGCCTGAGCCACCGCACCTGGCCCGATTCTTAAATATATTTAATCCGTCCGCCCCAGTTATCTAAGGCTCTGACCTCTTCCTTCTCCCACCAGCAAACCCCAGGGCAGTTTGCACTGTGCCCCCTCAGCATTGTGGCTGACAGTCTTCTGTATTCTCTTTCCCACATTCAGGATCATGGTGGCACAGGAAGGGATGGCTGGATAGTAGAATGCATCCTCCACATCTTCAGGAAAGGACAGAGATACCTCAACAGGAGAAGTTGGGCAGAGACAGGCAAGTGCTGCCTCCATTTCCAGCCTCATGATGGTTCCTGGGCCATAGCAAAGCCTGGTTGAGGGGAAGAGGCCCAGGGACTGCATCTTTCCAGCTTTTCTTCACATACACAAGCAGATGGTGGCACAGTACTCCCTGATACTAGCTAATAAGCACCTACTGTATGTCAGGCCCCCCCCACCTTTTTTTTTTTTTGAGACATGGTCTCACTCTGTCGCCCAAGCTGGAGTGCATGAGTTGCAGTAGCACAATTACTACTCACTGCAGTCTTGACCTCCTTGGGCTTGAGCAATCCTCCCACCTCAGTCTTCTGAGCAGTTGGGCCCACAGGTGTGCACCACCACACTCAGTTAATTTTTTATTTTTTGTAGAGATGGCGTCTCCCTATGTTTCCCAGGCTGGTCTTGAACTCCTAGGCTCAAGTGATCCTCTGGCCTCAGCCTCCCAAAGTGCTGGCATTACAGACACGAGCCATTTGTAAGACACTTCTCACCCTCACACTAACCCCACGGCACAGTTTGGGAAACAAGTTTGTTGAGTTAAAGTGGTTTGGCAAGAAGGGCTGAGCTGGGATTAAGATTCCGCTCTTCCCAACTCTGAAGCCCCTGTTCCCCTCACTGCTGTGTCCTGCTCATTTTCCAGGCCCAGGTTAACAACAATGGGAAAGAGTTGAGAGATACTTTTCTAACAGGGTAAACCCTCCTCCCAGCCCAACTCCACCATCCTGGGCCACTCCTCTACTCACATGATCCTTTGTACCATTTGGTCCAATTGATCTTGATCTCATCCATTTTTTCCACATGGGTCAGAGACAAGGGTGAGATTTTTCTCATTTCTCGTGGGAGAAAGGCAAGCTCTGCCAAGCCCAGAATTTCTGGCCCCTCCTGTCCCAGCACAAACCATTCACAGTCTTCCCGCAATTATTCCTGGTGCAGGGTTTTATTTCTAGGAAGCCTTCTGTCCCTCAACCTCACCAGCCCTTGGCTTTTCAGCCCAGAGGCTCAGGACATTTGAGGATTGCGTGTTTGGCTGTGGGCATGGGGAATGCAGTGACTACACCTGGTTGGCATCCCATACCACACCCAGGGGAATGGGGAAGCCAAGAGGTGGACTGGAAGCAGGCTCAGGCCTCTCTCTCCTTGCCCCCAAGGGCATCCTCTCCAGCAGATGGCCACTACAATGCTGATGTCAAACTGGTCAGTGGGTTCAGTGGAAGGTTTGGCTACCGCGGGAACACCCCAGCTCTCCGTCGGAGCACGTCTGTCTTTGGAGAGGTCACCCACTTCCCTCTGTTCTAACAGCATCTCTTCCCTTCATAGCCCTCAACCTGAATTTCTAAGACAGATGTTTAGGTGAACTCTCAATGTTATTTTACATTAAAAAAATTTGTGTCTCCAAGTGTGCCGTTTCTTCCCTGAGACTGGAGGAAGGAGCCAGCTGTACTCTCAGCTTCTCTTACCCTGGAGAGGAGGTGAGACGAGAAGGGCTTCTCAGGCCTATGCCCTTGCACTCGGAGAGGCTTCACTTCTACCCTGCCAGTGGGATAAGAAGGAGCCACACTATTCATCCTCAATAAAACACTTCCCCAGCTATCAGCAGGACCCCAGGATCAGAGCTGGCTACTGTTTCCATCAAGAACAGAGCAAAGGCCAAGCTCCGTGGTTTATGCGTGTAATCCCAGCACTTTGGGAGGCCGAAGTGATGCCGAGACAGGAGGATTGCTTGAGCTTAGGCAGTTGGATCACTTGAAACCAGCCTGGGCAACATGCCAAAACCCTGTCTTTACAAAACACACACACACACACACACACGCATGCACACTCTCTCTCTTAGCCCAGGCTGGAGTACAGTGGTGTGATCTCAGCTCACTGCAACCTCCGCCTCTCAGGGTTCAAGCAATTCTCCTGCCTCAGCCTCCCTAGTAGCTGGGATTACAGGCGCCTGCCACCACGCCCAGCTAATTTTTTTTGTATTTTTAGCAAAGACGGGATTTCGCCATGTTGGTCAGGCTGGTCTCAAACTCCTGACCTCACCTTGGCCTCCCAAAGTGCTGGGATTACAGGCGTGAGCCACTGCGCCCAACCCAGGATGTCATTTTTCAAGTGTTCCCTTTCAGTTTATTGGTGGCCAAGGGAAAAGCCAAAGCAGATGATGGATAATTAAGAAGGTGGGGCTTTAGGACACAAAGCTTGCCAGAACTCTAGTGTGGGTGGAACTTGATTGTATTGAGTCACCATAAGTGGACAAGGAAGGAGTTCCTGATAGGTGAAGGGGGTATAGCTCAGGGGTAGAGCATTTGACTGCAGATCAAGAGGTCCCCGGTTCAAATCCGGGTGCCCCCTTCCCGGATGTTTTCTCATTTAAAAGTAAATACTGTCAGCCACAGCGTCACCAGAAAAGATAGAGGGATTTTCAGCTTGCTCTTGTGCTAAAATTGCTCCTCCCACATTCCAGCTGACCATTAGGACAGAAAGCCCCCCTTTAGGACCTCCGCTGCCTTCCATTAAGACCAAGTACCTGAGGAGATTCTAAATCTATGAGTAAGTCTGAGAGCTGTGAACACAATTTGGCCATCGGGTGTGTGTCAGAGTATATATAAAAATGTTCCTTCAACATATACTTTTGAAAAGCTCCCTTGAATTAAAACATGAAAGAAGGGCCAGGCACAGTGGCTCACGCCAATAATCCCAGCACTTTGGAAACCAAGGTGGGCGGATCACTTGAGTTCAGGAGTTCAAGACCAGCTTGAGCCACATGGAGAAACCCTGTCTCTACTAAAAATACAAAAATTAGCCAGGTGTGGTGGTGCGTGCCTGTAATCCCAGCTACTTGGGAGGCTGAGGCAGGAGAATTGCTTGAACCCAGGAGGTGGAGGCTGCAGTGAGCCCAGATCATGCCACTGCACTCCAGCCAGGGTGACAGGAGAGACTGTCTCAAAAAACAAACAAAAAAAAAACCTCTTTGATGACATCCTTTGCCATGGTCTTTAATGCTACGCAACCACAACTAACCACCTTATGGGGTTTTCCCTTTGTCAGTTTTACAGTGGCTCACCCTTTCCCCTAGTTTCTTGTCATCAACTGTAATTAGGGTGATCCGGTGTTCAGCACCAAGGGTCTTCAGCCACATAGGCAGGCTCATCACAGCTGGGGGCAGCACACAAGGATGTGCCCAGCGCTTGTCTAGGACTTTGGCAGCTCCTCAAATTCCATGTGCTAGGCCATCATGGATGAGGGCAGCCTTTGGGACCTTTATAAAGCAGTATTAAGGTCCATGACACCTCCAGCAGTGATGCCTTCCTGGGCCATGGTGGTGGGTTAGGGGGGAAGCTGATTCTTGAACACACCTGAGCCTCTGCCTCCGTGACTCAGTGGCGGGGGGGAAAGAGCAGCAGTTTGTTCTTGGTTAACACTCACTGCACCTAAAATGTGGTCTAGGTTGCATGAAAAGGGGTTAAACTTGGCCAAGAAGTTGATTAAGCATTTTGGCCAGTTTGCTTGTTACCACTGATGTCATAAAAATTAATATGTTACAATCTCTGAGCATTTTTCTTTTTTTTTTTTTTAGACAAGGTTTCACTCTGTCGCCCAGGTGTGATCTTGGCTCACTGCAGCCTTGACCCCCCCAGGCTCAAGCAATTCTCCCACCTCAGCCTCCTGAGTAGCTGAGATTACAGGCGTGTGCCACCACATCAGTCTGATTTTTGAGGTTTTGGGGTTTCTTTTTTTTGTAGAGACAGGATTTTGCCATGTTGCTCAGGCTGGTCTAGAACTCCTGGCCTCAAAGGGATGCCTTGGCATCCCAAGCACTGGGATTACAAGTGTGAGCCACCGTGCCTGGCCTTGAAGGATTTTCCATTTTGCCCTACTCCCCAGGTGACAATGAAAGGTAGCAAATGAGCAGGTGATTGTGACGGCAGCACTGAGCTGTGATAGACCCCTTGCTGACTAGCTCAGTGTTTGCTTACTTATAGCCTTCTAGAGACAACAATGAATGGCACACACTGGTTATCAAAAATGTCCACAAATACTGGCCGGGTGCAGTGGCTCACACCTGTAATCCCAACACTTTGGGATCACTTGAGGTTGGGAGTTCAAGACCAGCCTGGCCAATGTGGTGAAACCCCGTGTCTACTGAAAATACAAAAACTAACCAAGCGTGGTGGTGCACGCCTGTAATCCCAGCTACTCAGAAGGCTGAGGCAGGAGAATCCCTTGAACCCTGGAGGCGGAGGCTGCAGTGAGCCGAGATTGCACCACTGCACTCCAGCCTGAGCGACAGAGTAAGACTCCGTCTCAAAAAAAAAAAAAGCCCACAAATAAATACTGCCTCATGTCCCATGTTGCTGTGGACACCCGAGAATCCAACTGGCCCAACATGGTTTGGAGGGCACTGCCAGCCTCCTGGGTGTCCCCAGAAAGGTTCCTCACAGCAGGCATCCTTCATCGAACACTGAATCAGCCCCTCTCTATTGCCTGTCAACCCTAGATCTGTCCTGGTCTAAATCTTCCAACCATCTCCAAAAACAATTTCAGGCTAAACTCCATTTCTTCTTGATTTCTCCATTTGTACGTGTTGCTAAAAGGCTCTGGTCCTACTCTAAGTCTGTCCTCTCCAGTCCATCCACTGTACTGCCACAGGAATGATCTTTCTAGATCTTTGCTTTTGATGGCTTCCTGTGACTCAGATAGAGTGTGTGGCCTTTTGTGATCTGACCTCATATGCCTCTCCATCCTCTTGCGCCATCTCTGCCTCACACCTGGTGCTCTCGGGACACCACGTTTCAAGCCTGTCCCCCACACATCTGGGCCTCTGCTCAAGCTGCCCAACTCCTTTTCATCCAGAAAAGTCCAACTTTTAAGGCTCAGCGTAAAAGACACCTCAGGAAGTTTCGTTTCCCCAGCATTTGATGCAACTAGACACTTGTTATGATAGATGAACAATTTTTTGTTTTGCCAGCATGATTTTGCTTTCATTACTACAACCCTAGAAAGTAAATTTCCACACTTTACAGAAGAAAAAACTGAATCTCAAGAGAGTGATTTGCCCAAGGTCTTCTGCTGATAAGTGTAGCAGAGCCAGCTGAGGCTCCTACTGAAGTTCAAGACTCTTATTAGGCCCCTTGTGTTGGGGAGAATGGGCTTCTTACTGTTCCTCTGGACATTTAAGATCTTCTTGGGTTCAGTTCAACATTTTCCCCTTTTCTTCCTCTTTCCTTAAGACTCACTGCCTCTGCCTCCCACAGTACCTTCTGGCCTGGGCCTGGCTATCGTATCTTTGCTCAGGTCTCCCTGCTTGCTCCTACTACCTGCCTGCCTGCTTGCACTCTTGGCTTCGCGTGAATAAAGGCAGCTGCTGCAATACCAAAAAGGATATTCTCTGTAGACACCATAATCTGAGCAAAGGCACGCAGACACAAATGCTCCTGGTAGTCCAGGGCAGCCAGAACCGAGGTGCCATGGTGGCTGGGAAATCCATTCAGGCTCTGCTTGTGTTGCAGTGTTTTTGTGTTTGTTTTCACAGAGACAGGGTCTTGCTATGTTGCCCAGGCTGGTCTCAAACTCCTGGCCTCAAGTGAACCTCCCGCCTCAGCCTCCCAGAGTGCTGGGATTATAGGCACGAGCCACCATGCCCAGCTGAGTTCCACTATCTTTGGATATGAAATGGAGTTATCTAAGGATAAAGCCAGAGCGTCAGAGAGATTCTGGCTAGAGTTAAGGGTATGGCCAGTTTAAGGTGGCTGTTGAAAACGTGGCAGTGGTTAAGTCCCTCAGTACAGCATCATGTACTGGAGGACTGCATGGCTCGCTGTCTACAAATGGTAGTTTCAAAGATGGCTCTGTTCACATGAGCCTGTCACTAAATTACAGATTATCTAATCCCAGAAAACCCCATACCCTATGGGCTTTAGTGTTCACGAGTATGTGACGATTTCCAAAGTACATTAAAAAAAAAATTATACCAGGTGCAATTTAAGATTTAGGAGTTAAAATGTGCTCAGATTTTGTACAGTAACTAAAACATCCTATTCATGATGAGAAGAATTACAGACTACGATTGTGGGTTCCACTGTCTCTCCCTAATCATGGTAAGTCTGAAATGGAAAATGCAAACATAGCTGCAAAATTAACATTGAATCAATTTTTTTTAACAATTGGAAGCTGGCCAGGAACAATGGCTCACACCTGTACCCCCTGCACTTTGGGAGGCCAAGGCAGCAGATTGCTTGAGCCAAGAGTTCAAGACCAGCCTGGGCAACATGGCAAAACCCCATCTCTATAAAATTCAAAAAAAAAAAAAAAATTGGAAGCTTAGCTCATGTTATAGGCTAGATCAACTTGTTTAATCTCTCAGCCAGTGAGTCTTTTTAGTGAAAAATAAAGCTGCTTTTAGTGAAAAAGTGTGATTGCCCTCAGCCATGAGAATCTTCAAGGCCAATGGAAATGATCAAAGCTAAGCTTGCTGACCACACTAGCAGTCACCTTGATTCTTACCTTTCCTCCTAAGAAGATATTGACCTTACCTGGAAATGCAAAAGAATTAACAAGCTGTGAAGGGGAAGGAAAACAGGGGGAGAAACTCTACAGTGCGATGGTGATAGAAGGGGTCTGGGGCTGCCTGGACTCAGGCCAGCTTGGAGTGTGCCGGGCAATGCTGGGCTTCTGATCCTGTAGGAGCCAGTGTCTTAGGCTGTAAGACAAGAACCCTACTGCGGACCTTCCAGTGTGGTTGTGACAATTAACCATGTAAAGCTCCTAGCATAGTGCAAGGCACGTTAACAGGCACCTAAATATTGGTTCTCTTTGCTTTTCCGGTTCCCAAATAAATCAGCAGTTAAACCCAAGGGATGTGTAAGGATCCCACTTGGTCTCATTGATCACAGACCGCGTCATTCTCAGCCACAAGTTGCAATCTCCAGTCACAGCCCTCAGGGATATGTTCAACAACTGTCTCTACCTATGAGCAAGCCTTTTAAACCAGAAAGTGATTAAAACCCTTTCCATGGCTCCCCCTGAAAAGGAGAGGGGACGAAAATCTGTTACTACATGTCGGATAGTGGTTACTCCTGGTGGGGGGAGGGACCAGGAGTTCTTGCAGGACAGCCATGTTCTGTTTCTTAATTTGGGTGCTGATTGGTTACGTAGTATTCAGTTTGAGAAAATCAAGCTGAAGTATAGATGTATAATAGTTCAATAGGTTTGTTTTTGTTGTTGAGACAGGTTCTCACTCTGTCACCCAGGCTGGAGTACAGTGACATCTCTGAGGCTCAAGCAATCCTCCTACCTCAGCCTCCCGGTAGCTGGAATTACAGGCGCCCAGCTTTTTTGGGGGGAGGGGTTGGTTTTCTTGGTAGGGACAGGGTTCACTCACCACGTTGCCCAGGCTGGTCTCAAACTCCTGGGCTTAAGTGATCCGCCCACCTTGGCCTCCCAAAGTGCTGGGATCACAGGTATGAGTGACCACGCCTAGCCAGGACTACGTATTTTAAACCTAGGGAGTGAAAATCAGGACTAATACCCCATCTCTTCTACTGTGCGAGAGGATTCCTCAACAGACCCTGACCCGACAGCTGCCAGAGTGTAACCCAGAGAACCCAAGCTGTGAAACCGCCACCGCTGAGCCTTGCTCAGCCAATGCCACGGCTGCAGAAAGGGGGTCTGCCGGGTGACCCCGGCTGCAGAAAGGTCTGAGGAACACCTCTAAGTACAGGATAAGTGGTAAGAATGTGGGGGCCCTCTAGTCACTAGAGAGAATTCCATGACTGTCAGCTATTGCCTTCCCTACATAAAGGAATATTCATGACCAGCTCAAAGCTCTGGTCCCAGTCAGCACACTGATCTGGGTGGGGCATGGTATCTAGCGAAGGGCTGGGGACAACAGGCTGTGGTCATGAGACTGACATCCACTGCACAGGATCATGGTTTGGGGGTACTTGGCTATGGTGGGGTTTTTTTGTTTGTTTGTTTGTTTGTTTTGAGACGGGGTCTCACTCTGTCACCCAGGCTAGAGTGCAGTGGCGCAATCTCGGCTCACTGCAAACTCCACCTCCTGGGTTCAAGCCATTCTCCTGCCTCAGCCTCCTGAGTAGCTGGGACTACAGGTGCCCACCACCACGCCCGGCTAATTTTTTTTGTATTTTTAGTAGAGATGGGGTTTCACCATGGTAGCCAGGATGGTCTTGATCTCCTGACCTCATGATCTTCCCGCCTTGGCCTCCCAAAGTACTGGGATTACAGGCGTGAGCCACCGCGCCTGGCCATTTTTTTTTTTTTTTTAAACAGAGTTTCACTCTTGTTGCCCAGGCTACAGTGCAACAATGGTGCAATCTCAGCTCAGCACAACCTCCACCTCCCGGGTTCAAGCAATTCTCTTGCCTCAACCTCCCAAGTAGCTGGGATGACAAGATTGCGCCACCACACCCAACTAATTTTTTGTATTTTTAGTAGAGACGGGGTTTCTACATGTTGGTCAGGCTGGTCTCGAACTCCCAACCTAAAGTGATCCCCCTCCGGCCTTGGCCTCCCAAAGTGCTGAGATTACAGGCATGAGCCACCACGCCCAGCCGGCTATGGTTTTGAAAAAGTTCTTATTTGTCAGAGTAAAAGACTGCAGTATTTGCAGGTAAAATATTACCGCCCTTGAAACATGCCCCTTACTTGGCCTCTGCTTGGAAAGCCACCATCAGCTGGAGACAGATGGTGGCTGGAAGGCACTGATGGAATGAGAGGAAAGAGCCAGCACAGTCGAGATGCAGGAAGATTCCTTTATGATGGCGAATTGGATGGTACACAGTTCTAGAGTAGGGTCCCAGTCACTGGACCCCAGGAGGCAGGAGGAGCAGGGCTGAGAGGGACGACACACTCCAGGGCTCATGTCACACCGATAGGCGCACCAGGAATGACCGCCATATACTTCCCTAAAGCTCAACCCACCCACCAGTTCAGTTAAGAATTATACTTTAATTCGTGTTTGGCCACTGAAGATCAAATCCACCATGATGATAGGATTTCAGCACAACGGGCCCTTTCCAGTCATGACAGACAGAGATGTCCAGGCTCTTGAGGAGAAACAAAAGTTCCTTTGACTTCTCTTGCAAGGACCAAAGAGATAAATTTTTTCTTTACGATCTGTTGAAATATTTATATAGACTTTTAAAAACAACTAACAGTTCATCCTGTGCTCAGTTTCCCTGGAAGGTTTCTCATGATCGCCCCTCCGAGAGCTAGAGGGGTTGTGTGTCTGGGAACAAAGGATTAAGACACTTTAAAATAAGCAATGAAAATCCTAGTGCGACACTCAGAAGCAGATGGTGGGCTTGAGGGGGCCGAGGGGTGGGAGGCAGATGCTTCGATTGAGGAGCTGGGTGCCGCCTTTTGGGAAAGCCGAGTGGAGACAGAAGCATCGGGACAGGAAGCCCTGCTGGAGAAGGCTCAGTTCCTTCCTTGCTGTTCCCTGGGGGACCAGGGACAGCACGGCCCCTGCATTTCTACTTCTCAGGGCCGAAGACCCGACCTCTGACCCTCCACCCACTCCGGTGACCTGCACGCTAAGTTGGGTGGTCTCTGACTAAAACAGGCTTAAGCCAAGAATTGGGACTCGACTCCCAGGAGACCTAGGGAGAATTCCCTTCAGGCTGTTTCAGGCAGGAAGGACCAGGGAGGCTCACTCCCCAGGCAGCTGACAGGCATGGAGGGAAGAGCCAAGGACAGGAGAGGCTTCCAAGGCTCCAAGAGCAGCAGAGGAAGGGGCCAGCCACGTGGTGGCCATGGACCTGGCTCGGCTCATGAGGAAGACGTGCTGCCACTGCCACCTCACCCTGTGCGGAGGAGACTGTGCGAAGTCTTCACAGCCAGCAGCAGCCTCGATACGCCCCGAGTGCCTTTCATATGTATATATGAGAGAGAGATATACACATATATATTCATTATTTTTAACTGAAATAAATGCAACGGATTCAGGTTCATTCCCCTTTGCGATAAGTTGCAAGGTCCCCTGCCCTGAGGGGTCCACACCTTCGGGCCTGCCGCCAGGCTCACCCCCACTGAGGGAAAGTGGCCCTGGATGCGGAGAGGAGAGGACACACACCACAGCAGGTGACTGGGAGGAGGGCCTACCTCGCAAGACTGTTTCTAACCCTGAGAACCTAAGGAATTGTGAAGGACTCGGAGAGGGGGCTGGGGTTAAAGGTCACCGGGCTTTTTATTGCAGTTGAAGCAGACTCGGACGGGATGGTCCCAGCCACGAGAAGGAACAGCCCGGCGGTCATGGGAGCACTCATCACAGAAGCCCTGTCCGCAGGCCCGGCAGTGGTGCTTGGAGAGCTTGATGCTGAACTCCTTCCGGCAGTTGTGGCAGTGGAGGATTTCGTGGTCAGGCACCCAGTACGCAGGCCTGGCCGCGTCCTTTACCAGACCTAAGGCAGGGAACAATGGTCAGGGCACCCAAAGCCCAATACCCCGAGGCCCAACTAGCAAGAGGCCATCCTCGGATGCTTACTGGCTTATAATCCCAACTGCACACAGAATTGCTGACAGAGCTTTTTAAAAATGCAGAAGCCCAGGCTCTGCCACTCACATCCAGATCAGAGTCTTTGGGGCTGTCGCATAGGCACTGATTTTCCCTTTTCCTTTTTCACATTTTTTAAGATTTTTTGGAGTCAGAGTCTCATTCTGTCGCCCAGGTTGGAGTGCAGTATCACGATTTCGGCTCACCACAACCTCTGCCTCCTGGGTTCAAACAATCCTCCCACCTCAGCCTCCCAAGTAGCTGGGACTACAGGTGTGCACCACCACACCTGGCTAATTTTTGTAGAGACAGGGTTTCACCATGTTGTCCGGGCTGGTCTCGAACTCCTAGTCTCAAGTGATCTGCCCACCTCGGCTTCCCAAAGTGCTGGGATTGTAGGCATAACATTATAGGCATGAGCCACCACGCCCTTTCTTTCTCTTTTGTGACAGGGTCTCACTCTGTTGCCCAGGCTGGTCTCAAATTACTGGGACTCAAGGGAGCCTCCTGCCTGAGTCTCCCAAGTAGCTAGGATTATAGGCATGCACCCCCACACCCAGCTCCTTGATCTTTATGTATCTATGAAGCCCTCCTTGTAAACTGAAGGGGCAGCCGTGTTAAGAACCCCTGGAGGAAATATAAAGAAGTCTGGGCTCTGGAGTCAGACACTCAAATCCCAATTCTACTGAGATCAGGTTAATCAGCAGCTGCTGGATTAAGAAAGGTTAGCTAAGGCTGGGCATGGTGGCTCACACCTATAATCCCAGCACTTTGGGAGGCAGAGGCAGGAGGACCACTCAAGGTCAGGAGTTCGAGACCAGCCTGGCCAACATGGTGAAACCCTGTCTCTACTAAAAATACAAAAATTAGCCGGGCGTGGTGGTATAACCCCAGCTACTTGGAAGCCTGAGGCATGAGAATCGCTTAAACCTGGGAGGTGGAGGTTGCAGTAAGCCAAGATCACACCACTGCACTCCAGCCTGGACAATAGCGAGAGTCAGTCTCAAAAAAAAAAGAAAGGTTAGCTAACCTCTCAGGGGCTTACTCATCTTTAACAACCCACCTTCAAGAACTGTGATGAGGATGAGAAGAAAGAACATGCCTGACACACTGGCCTGGTACTCAACACCCTGTGGGCGCTCAGAATGGGAGCACTTGGTGAGCACAGCCAGCAGGCTATGCTCTGCCTTCTGTGCCAAGGACAGTTCTTGCCTCTCCCAGGTACCCCTGGGGACAGATGCAACCTGAGATTTAAGCTTGGGCAAATCCAGCAATTCCTACATCATCTACTCACTTTGTGAGCTGCAATGAGGAAATCTGCTCCAGGCCATTTTCATCACTACTCACTTTTGCTCGCTCCCCTACAATGTGCCACGCTGCCCCAGGCCTGGCCAGCCTTGCGTAAGCCTGCCAAGCACTGGTTGATTTCCCTCCCTCTCCCCCTCGCCATCCTAAATACAAATACCCCTCACATCCAGGGCTGGGTAGCTATTTTAAATCTTCTTTTTTTTTTTTTTTTGAGACAGAGTCTCGCTCTGTTGCCCAGGCTGGAGTGCAGTGGTGCGATCTCGCCTCACTGCAAGCTCCACCTCCCGGGTTCATGCCATTCTCCTGCCTCAGCCTCCCTAGTAGCTGGGACTACAGGTGCCCGCCACCACGCCTGGCTAATTTTTTTGTATTTTCAGTAGAGACGGGTTTTCACCGTGTGTTGGCCAAGACTGATCTCTTGACTTCGTGATCCACCTGCCTTGGCCTCCCAAAGTGCTGGTATTATAGGCGTGAGCCACGGTGCCCGGCCAGCTATTTTAAATCTTAAACTACTAACAGTTTGGCTGGTGTGACAGACTAAAGACAGCCATAGAATCTTTCACCCACTTTCCATCTTTGACACTCCTGCCCCCTCCCTTGAATCTAGACAAACCTGTGACGGCAGCAGACTCCAGGAGATGACAGCAGAAGTGCCTGTCTGCAGTCCTAGGCCTCAAGAGATGGGCAGCTTCAGCCAGGCACAGTGGCTCACGCCTGTAATCCCAGCACTTTGGGAGGCCAAGGCCGGTGGATCACCTGAGCTCAGGAGTTCGGGACCAGCCTGGTCAACATGGTGAAACCCCGTCTCTACTAAAAATACAAAAATTAGCTGGGCATGGTGGCACGTGCCTGTAATCCTAGCTGCTTGGGAGGCTGAGGTAGGAGAATTGCCTGAACCTGGAAGGCGGAGGTTGCAGTGAGCCAAGATCGCACCACTGTACTCCAGCCTGGGTGACAGAGTAAGACTCCATCTCAAAAAAACAAACAAACAAACAAACAAAAAAAAAGAGATGGGCAGCATCCACTTCCTGTCTCTTGGAACATTAACTCCTGGAACCCTGACATCATTTAAGAAGTGCCAAAGAAACCACTGAAGAGGCCTGGAGAATACAAAGACCGAGTGAGGCTCTGCTACACACAGCCTCCTAACTGTCCCTGCCAAGGCACCCAGCTTGTAAGTGAGGTCAGCTTGGACCCTTGAGACCACTCCAGCTACCACCCTGGAATATCAGGTAGTAACTAGAGCCAATGCCACTTGGAGCTGAATAATTACCCTTCCTGACTTCTAGACCTGCAAAGACATCAAAGATGGCTGTTTTAAGCCTTTACATTTTAAGGTAGCTCGTTACACAGCACTAGATGCTGTAAGAGAATGGCTTCCAGCAATAAACATGAAACTACTAAGGCATTCAGCAGAAGCAAGCAAATGTGTGGCATTGTGTAATTGATTCCTTTACCACCCATCTCAATCTAGGTTGGCAAGCCTTTACAAAGTGACAGCCCAGGGCACCTGAAACCCCTCAACCCGCATCCACTACCCCCAAGAGAAGCACTGCCAGGCCCACCTAGTGGTATGTCAATGGCTGTCACCACGGCTCCCAGAGTGTTCTGCACGGCCTCGCCCACCTTCCGAGCAATGAGCGTTCCACCTTCATCGTCCACTTGTGCCTCGGTAACAGCTGTAGACAGTAATAAAGGAAATGCTGTCACCTCTAAGTCCTCTCCCAAATGGAAAACTCAGGGACCAATAGCAGAACGCTTCTGGATTCTGATCCCAGACACCACTGTGCTGTCCTGCAACTACTGCAAGGGTCTGTGCTGTGGGTCAGGTCAGCCCAGACTCTGAAATTAGATGACATCTGTTAGTCCTTTAGCTGCAACCTTCTGGGGCTCCTTTATAACCCTTCTTTTAAAGTAAGGCAGAAAGGTTCTAGGAGCGAAAACTAGAACCTTCTCAAAGGAGAAGACTGGTCTAAGCCATCTCTGGTAAACACTGCAGCCTTTTCAGAATTCAGTTGCTATGTGCGCATTCCCTTCCCCCAGAAGCAACTCTGCAGCTAAGAATGCAGGACAGGTTCGAGCCCCTGAGGAACAGCACCCATAGGACGCTGTTAACAAGGAGCTTAGAGGCTGACTGGCCAAGACCAGAAGTACTCTCACAAGGGAGATGTGGATTAGGGCATCTGGATATCCAGTTCTTAGCACCCAGGGCCAATGTGGGAGGTTCTCCCCTCCACCCCTGCAGCTCCCAGGTCCCACGTTACCTAACTGGACGTTCCTGGCTTCGTAGCAGTTGTCACAGACCCGCACTGGCGCAGGGCCCCAGCCCCGCTCAGGCACTGGCCGAGTCTTTGATGAACAGCTGTCACAGAAGCCCTCCCCACAGGCTCGGCAGTGATGCTTAGTGTCGTTATCTTTAAAGGACGTCGCACACTTGTTGCAGCTCTGTTCCAAGCCCAAAACAAAACAGAGAGGCAGGTAGGTATGGTACATGTCTGCTCAGCTGAGAAAGTCAACAAGACCCCGGAGCAAGCAGAAACTAAGGCAGGTGGCGTTAGCTCAACAAGGACAAGAGCTTTCTAGTAACGCGTTATCTGAGAATGGAAAGGAAGCCTGGTGGACAGTGAGTTTCCTTTCACTAAGTGTCTGGGTTGAAGCTGGGTGCTCTCTTGCTCTGGGTGCTGTAGCGTTAATGGATCAAGCTGAGGATGACCCTAAATAACCTCTAAAGACCCCTTTTCCTCCAGATTCTTATCTGGGTCCTCACATATCTAAGCAATATTCACTGGTCGTCACACACAAGGAAACTAAAACTCACCAAACAGAAAATACTTGCAGGAAAACACGAAGGGAAATCAATGGGCAAAGAGAAACTGGCTGCCTCAACGACTCCTCCCCTTGCCGGTACTCACAGAGCTCACTGCACTGGCAGAAAATGTTTGCGTCTCCCTCACAGAACAAGCTTAGCACAGGGCAAAGCGGCATTAAGTAGGATGGGCTGTGCCAGGAGTGGAGGGGCATCCTGGCACACCATACCAGAATCTGGGAGTTGGGCCTCCAGTAGGCAGGGGCGATCTGGTCTGTCAGCCAGGAAGTCACAGCCTTGGTGGGTCCAAGGCTAAGCTCGGACACCGACTGAGCCATGAAGTTCATCCCGTCCAACAGGCGCTGGGCAGCATTGTTGTTGTCCTTCAGAAACCCATCAGTCTGAAATGAAAACGCAGGCTTCCATCATGCTCTGAGAAGGGAGTGAAAGGAAGGAGGAAGAGGGATGTTTGGTGAGTTGCACACTCACCGTGGCCAACTCAGAACCACTAACTCCCTGGCAGGGAAGAACGGAGACACACCAGGAATCCCTCTGGCTTTATTCTCTTCAAAGTGACCATAAGACTTGATGTGTAGCTGTTCAATTCAGGACTTACTAAGCCCATATAATACAGGAGATGACACCTCCTCCAGGGGGCCCCGCACCGCAGGCTGAGTTAAGAACCTTTCCTCTCAGTTCTTCTAATACTTGGACATCTCTAGGAATCCTATTTCTGTGTGTCTAAGTACAATATCCATTTAGGTATCTGACTTCCCTATTAAACTCTGAACTCCCTGACAATAACTCTTTGTCATTTTTGTATTTTGTAAAGTAACTAGCTCAGTGCTGGGCACAAGGTACACAACAATGTATGCTGAATAATGAATGAAGGAAGGAAGGAAGGAAGGAGCAAACAAACAGCAGGGAAGGCATCTGTATCCTCCTAATTTCGAGGACTGTGAAGAATGTGACCTGAGAGTAAATTACTGCAGTCCTGTTTTCCTGGAACATAAACTATCTTACCACCTTTACTTTCTCGCTATAAGGCCACGTTAAATCCTTGGGACATAATGGAATAAACCATTATGCCAAGGAGGTGGGCTCCCATAATGAGACTACTATATAATAACAGATTTCAGTGGGCCAGAAAATTAGAAAAAGGAGGAGAAAAATAAGGAAATCGGCCGGGTGCGATGGCTCACGCCTGTAATCCCAGCATTTTGGGAGGCCGAGGTAGGTGGATCACAAGGTCAAGAGATCGAGACCATCCTGGCCAACATGGTGAAACCCTGTCTCTACTAAAAATACAAAAATTAGCTGGGTGTGGTAGCACGCGCCTGTAATCCCAGCTACTCGGGAGGCTGAGGCAGGAGAATTGCTTGAACCCAGGAGGTGGAGGTTGCAGTTAGCCGAGATCACACCACTGCACTCCAGCCTGGGTGACAGAGCAAGACTCCATCTCAAAAAAAAAAAAAAAAAGTTTAAAAAATAAGGAAATCTTCAGTTTTATGGTACCTATAGGATCCAGGAAAGCTCAGGAGAGGACCTGCAGGTAGAACTCCTAGGCTGAACGGTGGCTTTAGGAATCACCCAGCGAGGACAATGACACAGAGTAAAATAAGTCCCTCAGGGATAATCACTTGCCTTTTTTCCATGAAAGGAAAAGGTTTTGGATTTGTTGTGATTTATGGACAATGCTAAGTGTGAACAGTGATTTAATGCAGAATGAAAGCATGATATCACTGCCTCACAAACAGATTTGTATTTCTGACATCTGGAATTCAAAAGTTAAAAAATAATCATTAAACTGGGCGCGGTGGCTCACGCCCATAATCCCAGCCCTTTGGGAGGCCGAGGTGGGCAGGTCACCTGAGGTCGGGAGTTTGAAACCAGCCTGACCAACATGGAGAAACCCTGTCTTTACTGAAAATACAAAATTAGCCGGGCGTGGCGGTCGTGCCTGTAATCCCAGCTACTCGGGAAGCTGAGGCAGGAGAATCACTTGAACCCGGGAGGTGGAGATTGCAGTGAGCCAAGAGAGCCAAGATCTCACCATTGCACTTCAGCCTGGGGAACAAGAGCGAAACTCCGTCTCAAAAAAAAAAAGATTAAGCGTCTATAGGAATCCCACTTCTTAGAATATACTTCAAGAAAATTTCCTATAACAAAAAAATGGCTTTCTTACACGAAGATGGTGACTAGCATTTTAATGATCTTTTTAAAAAGGTGGAAATAAAACTAAATAAAATAGCATTGTGAGGAAAAAAAGCAGGAAAAAGGCATGTAAATATTTGCATCTAGAAAAACATACACATATAGAAAATGAATGAGTAGAACATGCAAAAACGTTTTATTTGCCAAAGGAGTAAAACTATAGATTTTTAGTTTATTTCATTTAAAGTTGTACTTCTAATATATATGCAAGAAAAAATAAAAACAATTTTGGTCTAGAGAACAAAAAAGCTCTCCAGATCATGCCTTTCTAAACCGCCAACATTCTGAAATTCATGGTTAACCTTAATTTTAAGCAGGTTCCAGTTTTCTATACACATGAAAAACTGAACGACACAAGATAAAGAAAAACAGAGAAATCCAACAGTTCTTACTCCAGGCCACACATGCACAATCTCTGTCCGCACCACCGTATCCACAGGATCTTGGTTTCCAAACCAGTACTGCCGACTACGATAGACCACGCCACAGTTAGGACATTCGATCACATACCTACAAGGAAAGCAAATCAATACTGTTACCCAGCCAGGTGCCTGGGGAGACAAACGCACCAGAAAACCTTGAGCCATGTTGTTTAAACTCACCCAGACCAGGCATATTTTGCGAGACCCATCCAGGGGGAGTCAGTGGAAGCAGATGTTTTGGGCACTACACTGACTTCCTCGCCTCTCTCATAGCAGGCCTGAAACAGGAAACACTCTGCTAGCTTATTGTTTGTTTTTTGTTTGTTTTTTTAATAGACACGGGGTTTTACCAGCCCAGGCTGGTTGTGAACTCCTGGGCTCAAGCAATCTGCCCGATCTCAGGAGTTCGAGATCAGCCTGGCCAACATGGTGAAACCCTGTCTCTACTAAAAATACAAAAATTAGCTGGGCATGGTGGCACACATCTGTAATCCCAGCTACTCAGGAGGCTCAGGCAGGAGAATTGCTGCAGCCCAGGAGGTGGAGGTTGCAGTAAGCCAAGATTGTGCCACTGCACTCCAGCCTGGCTGACAGAGCAAGACTCTGTCTCAAAAAAAAAAAAAAAAAAAAAAAAAAAAAAGAATGAATGTTCGATATAAATTACCCTTACATACAAGCTCAACAGAATGAGAAGAAAATAAGCTTAAAACAGTAAACAAAGGGACCCTCACCAATGAAGACATGTGAGTGCTTTTTGTTAGAGCTGGAGAGAAGTTCCAGAAATATTCAATTTGAATATCAAATACTTCAGCATGCAGCAAAAAATGGCCCCAAGATAGTCTTGCCAAAGAGAGAGTGGTCAGCAAGCCCGCTGCTGACACAGGGAGGAGCTCGGAGGACTCACCTTGCAGGTATACACTCGGTTGTCATACTGGTGGGAGTATCTGCAGCGGCTCTTGGCTTCATGAGGCACTCCTTCCTTCCCATGATTCATGCTTTTCTTACATCCAACCCTGAATGAAGCCCAAAGACTGACAATGAGACGGCTAAAGGAGCCAGTGCCACTTACACAGAACAGCCTGACCCTGAGCCAGGCACAAGGCCACGACCAGACCTTGATTACTAACTGGGCCTCAGATGCTGAACACAGAAAGGGTAGCCGGAAACCCACATGCCTCTTTGTTACACTTGCAATCAACAGCACTACAGAGGCACAGCGACTACTATCCTTGTATGAGGACACAGGGGAAAAAGAAATCTCAGCCGGGCACGGTGGCTCACGTCTGTAATCCCAGTACTTTGGGAGGCCGACGGGGGCAGATCACTTCAGGTCAGAAGTTCAAGACCAGCCTAGCCAACATGGTGAAACATCGACTCTACCAAAAATACAAAACTTAGCCGGGCATGGTGGCGGGCACCCATAGTCCCAGGTACTCGGGAGGCTGAGGCAGGAGAATCGCTTGAACCCAGGAGGTGGAGGTTGCAGTGAGTTCAAGACCAGCCTGACCAACATGGAGAAACCCCGTCTCTACTAAAAATACAAAAAAATTAGCCAGGCATAGTGGCTCATGCCTGTAATCCCAGCTACTCAGGAGGCTGAGGCAGGAGAATCACTTGAATCCAGGAGGCGGAGGTTGCAGTAAGCCAAGATCACACCGCTATACTCCAGCCTGGGCAACAGCGAGACTCTGTCTTTAAAAAAAAAAAAAAAAATACACCCAGAAATCCCTTGTTGGAAAAACTACCTGTCCCCTCAGCAGAAATGGAGGAGCCATAAGATACCAACTTGACCAGAGAGGAAACCTGAACGTCTCTCAGAAGACTCAAAAAATCCAAACAAGATGAAATGGAACGTTTACCCAGAACAGGCTGCCAAGATGCAAAATGAAAACCAACCCCAAAATTTGGCAATGCATTAAGGGGAGGCTTAGGCTGAACAAGCCTTCCAAATGAACAATGAGCTCTGCCATCCTGATAATGCAAAAACAGAGATCAGGACTTTAGAATTTCACTATGATAAAAGGGAAAGTTCCAGAAATCCTGGGGAGGCTCACAATGGGAAAGCAATGATCCAACAGTGCTTAAGTCTCTTGTGCTGGGCTCATGGGGCATGCAAAAAGGAAGGTAAGTCACACTGTCAACTAACATCCCTCTCCCCTTTCCAAACTGAACTCTCCAAGATAATCCTTAGTTCTCCCTTGCCCAGGCTGTATAATCCAAGAAGCAGGTCTTTTTCTCGGCAAGGTCAGAGGTGGTTCTGCATGCAGCAGGTGGCCTACAGGACTCAAAGTGAAATGACCATTCATAACAGATGTAGGTCAGGTCTACTCCTGTAAAAGGAGAAGTGTGCAGGACAGGGTGGTTCTGGTAGAAGCAAAGACAATTTGGTAGTGAAGAGTGGAAGGGATTGTCTACAGGACATGGAGGCTGCCATCTGACCTCGACACACTGCATTTAAATCCCCTGGGGCCCATCAGACAAGTCACCACACTGATTTAACAGCCATCAACAGTTCAAACTAATCCAGTGATCCTCAAAGGGTGGTCCCCATGAACATCAGCATCACCTGAGAATTAATTAATTTATTTATTTATTTATTTATTTATTTATTTATTTATTTATTTATTTTGAGAAAGAGTCTCACTCTGTCGCCCAGGCTGGAGTGCAGTGGCGCAATCTCAGCTCACTGCGGGCTCCGCCTCCCGGGTTCACGCCATTCTCCTGCCTCAGCCTCCCGAGTAGCTGGGACTACAGGCGCCGGCCACCGTGCCAGGCTAATTTTTTTGTATTTTTAGTAGAGACAGGGTTTCACCATAGTCTCGATCTGCTGACCTCGTGATCCACCTGCCTCGGCCTCCCCAAGTGCTGGGATTACAGGCGTAAGCCACCGTGCCCGGCCGAGAATTTATTAAATTTATTAAAATGCAAACTCCCAGGCCCTATCTCAGACCTACTGAATTAGAAACTGTGGAGGGGGCACCCAGTGATCCTGCCCTTCAGGTTTTTCTGATGCATGCTAAAATTTGCGGATCACTGCTCTAACCATAACAAAGTGCGGTCCACAAACCAAAGGCACAGCCATTGCCCGGGAGCTTGACAGAAATGCAGAATCTCAGGTTTCACCCAGACCTGATTCCGAATCTGCATTCTAACAGAATCTCAAGGTGATGCATACACAATTGAAGTTTCGGAAGCACTGTCCCAACTCAATGTCCTCAGCTCGGGCTGCACTTTAGAATCCTCTGAGGAGCATCTTAAACATAGCAATGCAGAGGTCCTACACACGACCCGTTAATTAGAATCCCAGAAGGTGGTGCCCTGGCATAAATAATTTTGAAAGCTCCCCAGAAAATTCTAATGTGCTCTAAACATTTCCCCTAATAGTGAAAGGAATC
Source organism: Homo sapiens (assembly GCF_000001405.40). Taxonomy (NCBI): domain Eukaryota; kingdom Metazoa; phylum Chordata; class Mammalia; order Primates; family Hominidae; genus Homo; species Homo sapiens. Next base: position 72,981,352 of record NC_000014.9, read on the forward strand.
ACCTGGAATCAATACCGACCCATAGTGTTTTGCACAGGGGGGGCACTCAAATATCACTTGAATACTTAGAATACTATGAATAAGTGACTGGAAACTCTGGTAGAAAAAACACAGAAAAGCAGGCAACCCAAAGTCTTCTGCCCTAAAAACCTCCCAAACCAGAAGCTGGTCAATTTCACATCTATACCAGCTGGAATTTCCAGGAGATTCTTCACCACCATGTGTCCTTCAAGCTCTTGCTACCTCAGAAGTGTGGTTCCTAGACCACCAGGATCTTGTGGGAACATGGGAGTGTACCATTTTGGATAATTTAAATCAGAACCTGTAATTTAGCAAGATCCCAGGGGATCTGCATCCACACCAAAGTCTAGGAAGCACCACTCAAAGGCTCTATTCTCAAGGTATGGGGTGGGAGGTGGGGGAGCGGCCTTACTTACCCACAGCTGAGGCACAAGGAGGAGCAGGTGAAATACTCATCTGGAAAAAAGGAGCTGTGCGCCATCTGGTCATCGGGGATCTCACCGCTGAAGCGGTCACTTAGTGCCTGCCAAGGAGGGAAGGTGACATATGATGGCACTCAGTAGAGAGCTCCGCACTTTGGCCCCCCACTGCAGGCACCGTACAAGCAACACAGGCACAGAAGAAATCCAGTAACTTCTGCTCATTACCCTTGACCTTCCTGACCCCACTCACATCAGTCCTTACCATGGGAAACCTTGGAAAGAACCAGCCCATTCCCCAAGAGGTCAAGATAAGCAAAGTTACTGTTCTCCCCTAATTGCCTTGCAGGTTATAAACACCTCACACCACTCAGTCTTTTATTCAAGACCACCACAAATAATGATGAATGCCCATTTCATCTATGTGAGGCTGGAACCAAGAAACCAAGACTCACGAGGATGGCTCCTCTTTAAGCCACAGGCAGAGCCCAGATGTGATCTGTGAGTTTCCCGGGCTTCTATCCCAGCTATAACCACAGGCACTTACTTGGAGTTTACTAGACCATAGACAAACTCAAAGCAGGAAAAATGTCACCAGAAAAAAAAAAAAGAAGAAGAATTATTATAGTGTTTGCCAGTCATTTATCAACTCTACCAACCCCCAAAACAGACATTACCCAAAGGACAGCAAATGGCCAAAATAAATGCCAAGAAGATAACATATCCACAAAGCAAACTGAAAATTTCAGGTTGAAATGTAGCTTCCATTCCTAATCCTATCTTCACTTATTACTGGATATTGAAAGTATTCCTCAGGCTAATTACAGAAAGGCGCTTTCCACACTTTAGAAATCACTAAGCACATGCTGCTCCAAGCTTCTAACTTTCAGTCCAGCCCCAGTGTGAAGAAGCCAGGCATTATCCAAGGGAAAATAAGGGAAAGAAGCCTTAACAAAAGGACAATATGTTACTTCCTTCCATAAACGGGCAGAAGAGAATTTTAAAGGAGATCTGGAAAAAGGGCAGGTTAGGTTTTAAACGAAGAACAATTAGAACTTTTTTTTTTTTTGAGATGGAGTTTTGCTCTTGTTGCCCAGGCTGGAGTGCACTGGCACGATCTTGGCTCACTACAACCTCTGCCCCCTGGGTTCAAGAGATTCCCCTGCCTCAGCCTCCCAAGTAGCTAGGATTACAGGCACCCACCACCACACCCGGCTAATTTTTTGTATTTTTAGTAGAAATGAGGTTTCACCATTTTGGCCAGGCTGGTCTTGAACTCCAGGCCTCAGGTGATCCACCCGCCTCGGCCTCACAAAGTGCTGGGATTACAGACGTAAGCCACCATGCTCAGCTGAACAATTAGAACTTCTTATGCAAGGTTCCTTTTCCTGTTTCCAATGCAGTCTTTTTTTTTTTTTAATTATATTTTAAGTTCTAGAGTACATGAGCACAACGTGCAGGTTTGTTACATACGTATACATGTGCCACGTTGGTGTGCTGCACCCATTAACTCGTCATTTACATTAGGTGTATCTCCTAATGCTATCCTTCCCCCCTCCCCCCCACCCCACCACAGGCCTCGATGTGTGATGTTCCCCCCCTTCCTGTGTCCAAGTGTTCTCATTGTTCAATTCCCACCTATAAGTGAGAACATGCGGTGTTTGGTTTTTTGTCCTTGCAATAGTTTGCTGAGAATGATGGTTTCCAGCTTCATCCATGTCCCTACAAAGGACATGAACTCATCCTTTTTTATGGCTGCATAGTATTCCATGGTGTATATGTGCCACATTTTCTTAATCCAGTCTATCATTGATGGACATTTGGGTTGGTTCCAAGTCTTTGCTATTGTGAATAGTGCCGCAATAAACATACGTGTGCATGTGTCTTTGTAGCAGCATGATTTATAATCCTTTGGGTATATACCCAGTAATGGGATGGCTGGGTCAAATGGTATTTCTAGTTCTAGATTCTTGAGGAATCGCCACGCTGGTTGAACTAGTTTACAGTCCCACCAACAGTGTAAAAGTGTTCCTATTTCTCCACATCCTCTCCAGTATCTGTTGTTTCCTGGCCATCAGAGAAATGCAAATCAAAACCACAATGAGATACCATCTCACACCAGTTAGAATGGCGATCATTAAAAAGTCCAATGCAGTCTTAACACCAGGAGTTGCAAACTCAAGTCCCTACAAAGGCACGTAATATCAATGTTGAGTCAGGTCAGGTGTAGGACCAGAATAGTGGCAAGGAGTGGGTCAAACTGAAGGTACACAACTCACCCAAGGACATTCTCACTCAGGTCCTGCAGGGCTACTGCAGAGGCCATAGAACACCATCCGTCAGCCACGGCTGACCAAGCGGCAACCCTGGACTTCAAACAACAAAAAAAATGGTCTGACAAATAATGCATAAGTCCTATACTTTTTGGGGGTACTTTGATAAAGAGTTAAAACATGGGGCCAGGCACGGTGGCTCATGCCTGTAATCCCAGCATTTTGGGAGGCCAAGGTGGGTGGATCACGAGGTCAGGAGTTCGAGACCAGCCTGTCCAGCATGGTGAAACCCCATCTCTACTAAAAATACAAAAATTAGCTGGGCGTGGTGGCGGGCGCCTGTAATCCCAGCTACTCAGGAGACTGAGGCAGGAGAATCATTTGAACCCGGGAGGCGGACGTTACAGTGAGCCAAGATCACGCCATTGCACTCCAGCCTGGGTGACAGGGTGAGACTCCGTCTCAAAAAAAAAAAAAATTGAAAACATGAAGATCTTGAAAGAGGATATGAATGAATATATAGAAATGCTGAGAATAAATGAGAAGCAGGGCAAGTGGAATTATAAGTCGGCCTATACATTTCAGCCTATACAGCGTTCTCTCTCCTGCTTCTACCTGAGACCCATTCTTCAGGGATGTTTGTGGTCTCACCTCTTCCAATGAAGCCTCTCCAACCACATCACTCTCTGCCTTCTCTGACAGCCCATTGTACTCAATACTGTAACTCGGTATTAAATAATTAGGCAATGATGCAAAGCTATGGGTTTGCTGTATTTTATCTCCAGGACTAGATCATAAATACTGTGAAAGCAGCTTCCTACCTTTGCATCCTCCTCCAAATCCTAGCAAAGGACCTAACAGGTACTCAGCTAGAACTGCTGGAATAAGTGCCCAGCACCAACTCCCCTTCACAAACCAACCTTGCCCTCCTCCTCTCCTGGCCCTGCCCTTGCCCTAGGCTTCTTTCATCCCATCCCCAGAGGTCCTCTCAAATTTAAGGCTAACTACTCCCTAACTGGCCAAATTATCAATAACTCTCCAGGCTGTTTCTCAAAGATATGTACAGAACACTCTGAAGACACCTGATGGGAAAAGGCAGCTTTTTTATTGAGACAGAGTCTCACTCAGTGACCCAGGCTGGAGTGCAGTGGCATGTTCACAGCTCACTGCAGCATCACCCTCCTAAGCCCAAGCAATCCTCTTCCCTCAGCCTCCCAAGTAGCTGGGATCACAGGCAAATGCCACCATGCCCCAATAATTTTTGTTTGTTTGTTTTTGTTTTGTTATTGAGACAGTCTCGCTCCGTCACCCAGGTTGGAGTGCAGTGGCATGATCTTGGCTCACTGCAACCTCTGCCTCCTGGTTCAAGCGATTCTCCTGCACCAGCCTCCCAAGTAGCTGGGATTACGGGCCCCTACCACAATGTATGGATAATTTTTTTTTTTTTAGTAGAGACAGGGTTTCACCATGTTGGTCAGGCTGGTCTCGAACTCCTGACCTCAAGTGATCCACCCAACTCAGCCTCCCAAGGTGCTGGGGTTACAGGCGTGAGCCACCGCACCTGGCCAAGATGCTGAAGTATCTAATGAGATGATACAGAAAGAAAAAAAGAGGAGACACAGCTAAGGAATATAGAAGCCACTACAGAAGGTATAGAGAACACCAAAGAATAGCAATTATTATTTAAAAAAAAAAAAAGAATAGCAAATTATTTTTTATTATTTTCATTTTTTAAAATGAGACAGGGTCTTACTATGTTGCCCAGGCTGGTCTCCTGGACTCAAGCCATTCTCCTGCCTCAGCCTTCCAAACTGCTGGGATTATAGGCGTGAGCCACTGTGCCCAGCCAAGAATAGCAATTTTTAGCCGCAGAGTTTTTCTTTTAAACAGGTAACTGAAAGGCTAGCCTAAGTATTGGTTTTCCTAAGGACAAATGATATAAATCTGGCATGAGTGCAACAGCTGGGTTGAATTCACAGAGGATGCCAACTCCCAGTAAATGGGAAATTAGGATCCAATACAGCGTAAGGTTCTTACTGTTTCAACCCAAGTGACCTGGTTCACTTCTCTGAAAGTTCTTCAGAGAAATGGGGGCATTTGTAAGTATCTCAAGGCTTGGTGTGAAACAATCTGCAGCCTGATTTGCCACAGTACATATGCCATCATTCCCTGCCCTAGACAAATGAACTGTTGGCTTATGTTGTCCAAGGTAACAGGTAACCACTTATGACATAAGAAAGAGACTCCAGGCAAGCCAGCCTTCAGATGCTGGCCACTGACACTCTTGCATATGAGGTAAGAACAAGCATCTCACTCGTTCACAAGTCACAGCCTGACTAATGAATCAGACCTTGACAAGTTTCAGGAGGCTTTACAAGAATCAAGAGTGTGGGAAAATAACAGTAACTGTTAAAAAAAAAAAAAAAAAATCCAACGTTAGCATGTTTTAGATGCAAGAGTAGGGAGAAACTCCTCTTTTAGAATCTAATCAGCTTTTCCTTTTTTTTTTTTTTTTGAGACAGAGTCTCGCTCTATCACCCAGGCTGGGTGCAGTGGCGTGATCTTGGCTCACTGCAATCTCCGCCTCCCAAGTAGCTGGGACTACAGGCGCGTGCCACCATGCCCAGCTGATTTTTTGTATTTTTAATAGAGACAGGGTTTCACCATGTTGGCCAGGCTGGTCTCAAACTCCTGACCTCAAGTGATCCACCTGCCTCAGCCTGCAAAAATGTTGGGATTACAGGCGTGAGCCACTGCGCCCGGCCCTGATTTTTCTTTACATACCACCTGATCCATATACTTATTAGCAGGTTCAAAAATTCCAAACCTCACATCATTCCACAGTTTCTTGGGTTCTCCTCCTCCTGAGATCCCAAAGCTAGAAGAGAAAGGCAGGGAAGGGCCCACCTACCCCAAGAAAGCTTGGGAAAGCATTTGAGGCAAGTCTGGAAAAGGTTGCCTGGAGACCAGATGATCTTGAACTTTAGTTGCCTTGACAACAGTGTGGCTCTTTCTATTGTATCTATAGGGCTGGCCCCAGTCATCAAGGGCTAGCAATGAATTTCCTGACTCAAAAGGGACACACTTCTGTCATCAGTGACATCACACCCCAACAAAACATAACTTTATAAATACTTCATAAATGCTTCCCGATGTGACAGAATTGGAACGTCAAGAGTTTCTACATTTAGAGCTCAGAGGTTAAAGAAGGTACATAAAGGCTGGGCACAGTGGATCACTCCTGGTAATCCCATCACTTTGGGAGGCCAAGGCAGACAGATACCTCAAGCTCAGGAGTTCAAGACCAGCCTGGGCAACAGGCAAAAACCCTGTCTCTACAAAAAATACAAAAATTAGCCAGGTGTGGTGGCGTGTGCCTGTTAGTCCTAGCTACTTGAGAGGCTGCGGTGGGATGATGGCTTGGGCCCAGGAGGCAGAGGTTGCAATGAGTCTAGATGGTGCCTAGGGGACACAGAGCCAGACCCTGTCTTAAAAAAAAAAATTAAGACAAAATTACATAAAACCTATACAAATTCAACTATGAAATGGTTCTCCCAACTATTCAGAACTGTAAGTACAGACAACCATAGTTAACTCAATATTCAATTCCAGTATTGAATATTAATTCCTCTATTCGATAGAGACCTGAGCATTTATTTCCTGCAAGCAGGTTTATCTGCTCAGTGCAGGTATGCGCTGCTTGTAGGTATCTGGGCTGTTGCTATTGTGGACCCTGAGCAAAGGAGTCAAGAAATGGGACATAAGCCAGCTAGAAAAAAAGGGGCCTGGGGCCTGCACAACAGTGTGGCTGAATGACATCAAAAGTGATCCTGTCAGCAGGAGGAATAGAGAAACCACTCCCAGGTATGTATGGGCAAGCCACTAGGGCAGAAAACAGCTGCATAGCTCTCTCTCTGTCTCTCTCTCACACACACACATATGTGCATGCATGTGTGCACACCAAAAACTGTTCTTCTCATTCATCACATTTCCAAATCCACATTTCCCGGTCAATAATAAACACAAAAAGTAGTACTTTGACTTCCTTTGAATCCAACAGAGTACTGCATCAATCAGGTGGAACTTCAAAAATAAGATAGGGCTAACAACATTTTTTTTTTTTTTTTTGAGACAGAGTCTTGCTCTGTCACCCAGGCTAGAGTGTAGTGGCACAATCTGAGCTCACTGCAACCTCCGTCTCCGGGGTTCAAGGGATTCTCCTGATTCAGCCTCCCGGGTAGCTGGGATTACAGGCACACACCATCACGGCTGGCTAATTTTTGTATTTTTCACAGAGATGGGGTTTTGCCGTGTTGGCCAGGCTGGTCTCGAACTCGTGACCTCAGGTGATCTGCCTGCTTCAGCCTCCCAAAGTGCTGGGATTACAGGCGTGAGCCACTGCACCTGGCCTAATAACTTTTTTTTTAAATATACTAATGGCATTTAAAATAGGCATTTCGGGCCTGGCACAGTGGCTCACACCTGTAATCCCAACATTTTGGGAGGCGGAGGTGGGCGGGTCACCTGAGGTCAGGAGTTCCAGGCCAGCCTGGCCAACATGGTGAAACCCCGTCTCTACTAAAAATACAAAAATTAGCTAGGCATGGTGGTGTGTGCCCGTAATCCAGGCTACTTGGGAGGCTGAGGCATGAGAATCACTTGAACCTGGGAGTCAGAGGTTTCAGTGAGCCAAGTTTGCATCACTGTACTCCAGCCTGAGTGACAGAGCAAGACTCTGTCTCAAAAAAAAAAAAAAAAAGTGAAAATAAACCAAATCATAGAATAATATAAATGGTATGATCTCATTTATGAAGGATATATATACATACACGCACATGCACTTTTACAGCATTTGCAATTTCTTCTTTTTTTTTTTTTTTTTTTTGAGACAGTCTTGCTGTGTCGCCCAGGACAGAGTACAATGGCGCAATCTCAGCAAACTGCAACCTCCACCTCCAGGGGTTCAAGCCATTCTGCCTCAGCATCCCAAGTAGCTGGGACTACAGGCACCCGCCACCACACCCAGCTAATTTTTGTATTTTTAATAGAGATGGGGTTTCACTATGTTGGCCAGGCTGCTCTTGAACTCCTGACCTCGTGATCTGCCTGTCTCAGCCTCCCAAAGTGCTGGGATTACAGGCATGAGCCACAGCACCCAGCCAGCATTTGCAATTTCTATAAGCATATATAATAAACTACTAATAATGGTTATCTGCAGAGTTAGAAAAGGACACTAGGCAGGGGAAAAGGATTTAACTTTACTATGATCCCATTTATTCAGGAAGAAAAACATACATTATAACATATATTTATGCATGTGCTTACACAGCAATAAAAATTTCTAGACACTTATGTGAGAAAGTATTAAGAGTTAGCTCTACAGACTGAGGAGGGGGGAGGTAGGGGAAGGAAAGGGGACTTAAGTCTCATACATTCTGCAGTACTTGAATTGTTTATCATGAATATGCATTGCTTTTATAATTTTTAAAATGACATCTCTGTTTTAATTAAAATAACCAAATACTCAAATATAACTGACAGTATGTATCAGGAACCTTTTAAAATGGTCCCATCCTCTGACCTCTTTAGAAGCGAAATAACTATTGGGAAGGAATACAGCATGAAGTTAAAAGCTCTTGGGGCCTGGTGCAGTGGCTGTGAGAGGCTGGAGTACAGTGAGCTGTGATCACACCACTGCACTCCAGCCTGGGCAACAGAGCAAGACCCTGTCTCAAAAGAAAAAAAAAGAAAAAGAAAAAAAGAAAGAAAAAATGGGAGATTCAAGAAATCAAACAAATTATTCTGACGTGTCATTTATCTGTTTATACCCACCCCAACTCTTTTATCTCAAAAGGACTCAAGGCTACTAATAAAAAAAAATTAATACAACAGCATAAAACAAAATAAAAACAAGTGGAGAAGAAAAGACAGCCATTTATATTATACACTGCTATGAACTATGAAAACTTTAGTTAGAGTCTATTTTAACAATAAAACTCTACTTGGTCAATTTGCCTAAGGCAGACCTTAAAAGTGGCTATTAGAGTGATAACCAGAGAATTAAGCATTTTTAATTTAAAGGATGTTTAAAACAAAAAAGTACAAAACCAATTTTTTCAAAGATTTGGGTAAACTGCAACAACTGCAAAATTCTCTAGGGAGAACCCAAATCACAAGCTTAAACAAATTGACTCCTTCCCATAGACAAAAGAATTCAGTCCCATAGCTCAGTATAACACAGCCCCTATACCTCAGAGAATAGAAAATATCAGATCTCGGTGAAATTTTGAGGATGCCAGTTACCAGGAATCATCAGAATTCCAGCTGAACAGGTTCTTTTTTTTTTTTTGAGATGGAGTTTCGCTCTTCTTGCCCAGGCTGGAGTGCGGTGGCAAGATCTCAGCTCACTGCAACCTCCGCCTCTCAAATTCAAGCAATTCTCCTGCCTCAGCCTCCTGAGTAGCTGGGATTACAGCCACGCACCACCACGCGCAGCTAATTTCGTATTTTTAGTAGAGACGTGGTTGCTCCATGTTGGTCAGGCTGGTCTCGAACTCCCAACCTCAGGTGATCCATCTGCCTCCTGAAGTGCTGGAATTAAGGGCGTGAGCCACCGCACCTGGCCTTTTTTTTTTTTTTTTTTTTTTTTTTGAGAGGGAGTCTAGGTCTGTTGCCTGGGCTAGAGTACAGTGGCGCACTGTACTCGGCCCACTGCAACCTCCACCTCCCAGGTTCAAGTGATTCTCCTGCCTCAGCCTCCCTAGTAGCTGGGATTACAAGAGTCTGCCACCACGCCCAGCTAATTTTTGTATTTTTAGTAGAGACAGGTTTCACCATGTTGGCCAGGCTGGCCTCGAACTCCTAGCCTCACGTGACCTGCCCACCTCCGCCTCTCAAAGTGCTGGGAATGATTACAGGCATGAGCCACCTCACCCGACAGACCAGGTTCATTTTAATCGCAGAAAGCTTGGTGACGCTTACCACCTCGGAAGAATACAGTCTAACTATTTTTCTCAAAGCCAGTAATAAATTGGCCTGAGGTAGGACATCCAAGACTTCTGAGGGGAAAAATCCCTGAGCACTAATTACAGTTTACAGTGCTCAGTGTCCCTGATGGTATTTTTTTTTTTTTTTTTTTTTTTTGAGACGGAGTCTCGCTCTGTTGCCCAGGCTGGAGTGCAGTGGCGCCATCTCGGCTCACTGCAAGCTCCGCCTCCCGGGTTCACGCCATTCTCCTGCCTCAGCCTCCCAAGTAGCTGGGACTACAGGTGCCCGCTACCACACCCGGCTAATTTTTTGTATTTTTAGTAGAGACGGGGTTTCACCGTGTTAGCCAGGATGGTCTCGATCTCCTGACCTCGTGATCCGCCCGCCTCGGCTTCCCAAAGTGCTGGGATTACAGGCGTGAGCCACCGCGCCCGGCCCCTGATGGTCTTACTTAAACATTAATCTGGGTTAGCTTCCAGAAGAGCAAAGGAGCTGCTATAATCCAGCCTCTGGCCTATTTGCCTTATAATGCACAGTGATCAGATTTACAGCCCCTTTGCCTGATTCAGCGTCTTTTCAGAATGTTTGCATTAGGTAAGCGTCATCTTCCGTTTTCACTGCCTTTGAGCCACTACAAGGACATTATTAGCCAATACAACTAAGTGCACTTGAACTTCAAATTCTAACTGGAAATGTATGTATTTCATGAATTATTCAAATGTAATCATTTTCAATAGTTTTTCCTTAATATTATTCACAATTAACATTCACTGAACATTTTTACTATATAACAAGTACTTTGTCTCTTAAGTATGCTTTCATTTAATCCCCACCTCTCTTTAAGAGGCCAAATCTCCCTCTTTTTTTTTTTTTGAGACAGCATCTCGCTCTGTCTCCCAGGCTGGAGTGCAGTGGGACAATCTCGGCTCACTGCAACGTCTGCCTCCCGGATTCAAGCAATTCTCCTGCCTCAGCCTCCCAAGTAGCTAGGATTACAGGAGTGCGCCACCATGCCCGGCTAATTTTTTTGTATTTTTAGTAGAAAGGGGGTTTCACCATGTTGGCCAGGCTAGTCTCAAACACCTGACCTCAAGTGATCCACCCGCCTCGGCCTCCCAAAGTGCTGGAATTACAGGCGTGAGCCACCACGCCTGGCTGTAAATCTCCCTCTTAAAGAAAGAAAAAACAGGACCCAGTCTCAGAACCTTCCATGCGTAATAGTCTCTAGCTAAGGAATAATAGGCGATTTTATTTGTTGAGAGGCAGTACAGGCTTTGTGGTTATGAGAAGGAGCTCTAGCGTAAACTGGCCAGGTGTTAGGCCTGCTGTCACTCACCAACTGTGTATAACCAATTACTACATCTCTTGGTGCCTCCGTTTCCTCATCTGTAAATGAGGATGTTAACAGTACTTAACTCATGGAGTTGGTGTAAGGATTAAGTGAACTAATCCATACAGAGTACTCTGAACTTTGGTATATAACAAATAGTAGTGTTATTGTGTATCTATTTTTGTGTTTTGTTTTGGTAATTTTCTACCTCTGGGGGGAGGTCCCATTCAGGTGCCCCCCCCGCCCCTTGCAAGAGAGAGAGAGCTGTTCTTTCTCTTTCTTTTGCCTATCAAACCTCTGCTCCTAAACGCCCCCCGAACAAAAAACAATTTCTACCTGTGATACTAGTTTTCCGCTTATAGTGATAACAAAAAGTTTCCTCTATGAATAAATTAATTTAAATAAGAAAAAAACAGTGAGTCAATGTTAAGAAAAGCATAAAGGCTGTCCAGATTAAGTGAGACTCAACATGACACCAACTCACCAGGGCTGAGCCACACCAGCCAGAAATGAGTGCCTGGTTTTTCTCCTAGCTGAGGACCGGGCACTTTTTTTACTATCACATATGACTTCCCCATATTTGCACTCCTGGCAAGATGAAAGCATCTGACAGGTGCGGACTCCATTCATGTGCTTCCGCTTCTTATAACCTCTTTCCACCCAGATTTCCAATCACCAGCACCACAAAAGCTGGCGAACTGAGTGTTCTCACCACCCACTGGCACCCCAATGAGAAGCCCTTGGGGCACAAGCCAACTGACCTTCAGGGCTTTGAAGATGACTCCCGGGTGCCGGGGAGAACGGGTGGTGTTATTCTCTAGTAGCTGCTCCAAAGCACGCCGAAGCCCAGAAAAGTCCGTGGGAGGGTTGTAAGTCCTCGTTCCCTTGTAGTGAATGGAACTAAAGGCTTCAGGGAAACGGCCCAGCTTCCGGAACCGGTCCTGGATGAGCTTCTCTGGCACCTCTGAGGGATGATCTATACAAGCAGAAACACAGGCACATGGGTAGTGAGTGACATTTAAAAAAAAAAAAAAAAGTAGGCCAGGCACGGTGGCCCACACCTGTAACCCTAGCACTTTGGGAGGCCAAGGTGGGTGGATCACCCGAGGTCAGGAGTTCAGCCTGGCCAACATGGTGAAACCCTGTCTCTACTAATAATACAAAAAAATTAGCAGGGCGTGGTGGCGCATGCCTGTAATCCCTACTAGTCCAGAGGCTGAGGCAGGAGAATCGCTTGAACCCAGGAGGCGAAGGTTGCAGTAAGCTGAAATCGCACCACTGCACTATAGCCTGGGAGACAAAAGTGACTCTATCTCAAACAACAACAACAAAAATCTTTCATTATAAAAGTAAGATACGAGGCTGGGTGCGGTGGCTCACACCTGTAATCCCAGCATTATGGGAGGCCGAGGCAGGTGGATCACCAGGTCAAGAGATGGAGACCATCCTGGCAACATGGTGAAATGCCATCTCTACTAAAAATACTAGCCAAGCGTGGTGGCAGGTGCCTGTAATCCCAGCTATTCAGGAGGCTGAGGCAGGAGAATCACTTGAACCTGGGAAGTGGAGGTTGCAGTGAGCCAAGATCGCGCCACTGCACTCCAGCCTGGCGACAGAGAGAGATTCCGTCTCAAAAAAAAAAAAAAAAAAGTAAGATACGGGAGGGTGCAGTGGTTCACACCTGTAATCCCAGCACTTTGGGAAGCTGAGGTGGGTGGATCACCTGAGGTCGGGAGTTCGAGACCAGCCTGGCCAACGTGGTAAAACCCCATCTCTACTAAAAATACAAAAATTAGTCGGGCCTAGTGGTGCACGCCTGTAATCCCAGCTACTCAGGATGCTGAGGCAGAAGAATTGCTTGAACCTGGGAGGCAGAGGTTGCAGTGAGCCGGGATCGCACCACTGCACTCCAGCCTGGGAGACAGAGCGAGACGCTGTCTCAAAAAAAAAAAAAAAAAAAAAAAAAAAGTAAGATACTCTGACTCAATGTACATGAAGTACATAAGCAGGCAGAGCTGATCTATGCTGTGAGAACTCAGGTTACCCTTTCCTGGTAAAGGACATGAGGAGGGCTTCTATGAGGAGGGCTGGTGTCCTATGGTCTAGCATTGAGTACGCAGGGGCATTCAGGCAGTGAAAACTCATCACATGATACCTTGATATGATACGCACTGTTCTGTATGCACATTACACTTCAAGGAGGAGTCTTTTTTCCCAAAAACCCATTCATTGGAAAAATCTAGATATGCCAAAGCATAAAAGGAAAGAAATTATGTCCTCTGCTCTCACCTACTTCCCGAAAGTAACCACAGCTCAATATTGGCCCTTTCAGACATTTTTCCTACAGACTTAGCAACATATATATGCAACTTGCTCTTTTCTCACTTAATAACATACTGTAAGTACCTGTCCTTGTCACAATACACTCAAAAGCAGCAATACAGTCTTCGATCCTGTGGATATACTTAACTAATCACCTTCCTGATGAACTTTTACAATTCTCTGTACTTTGAAAATTCTGGTCTTTTGTGAGGAAGCTCTGGGCAAACTACCAATGTATAAGGGTATTTGCTTGCCCACACTCTCATCATTTGTCCAGAAACTTGGGCAGCCATAGCACAGATGGATTCAATAAATGTATCGGTGATAAAGGTTGAAAGGACTTTTTAATTTCCTTTTTATTTATTTATTTATTTATTTACTTACTTACTTAATTACTTACTTTTTGAGACGAAGTCTCACTCTGTTGCCCAGTCTGGATGGAGTGCAGTGGTGCAATCTCGGCTCACTGCAACCTCCACCTCCAGGGTTCAAGCGATTCTCCTGCCTCAGCCTCCTGAGTAGCTGGGATTACAGGTGCCCACCACCATACACTTGACTAATTGTTGTATTTTTAGTAGAGACAGGGTTTCACCATGTTGGCCAGGCTGGTCTCAAACCCCAAACCTCAAGTGATCCGCCCACCTTGGCCTCCCAAAGAGCTGGGACCACAGGTATGTACCACTGCAACTGGCTAACTTTTTAATGTTTTTGTAGAGTCAGAGTCTTGCTATTTTGCCCAGGCTGGTCTCAAACTCCTGGGCTCTAGTGATCCTCCCGCCTCAATGTCCCAAAGTGCTGGACTATAGGCAGAAGTCATCGTGCTCAGCCTAAAATACAATAACTTTTCAGGGGCTGGTTACTTCAAAATCCTGAACTGGCAATTAAACCTTCCCCTCACTAAAACTGTAAAGATCCAAAGTGGCATAAAAGTATTGATCACAGGAGGCAGCTGAAAGTCAGCATTTGTCACCTCCTCTCCTTATCTTCGAGGCACTTGCTAATTAATCTGCTCCTTCACTGGGGAACATTTACATGTATTATCTTCTATAGGGCATGTGTCATTGGTACCACCAGAATCAACTGGTGCCAGGTCCTTCAGATTCAACCTCCTTTATGGCCTACTCTGTGCACTTCCCTCCTACTGCCACTGCCCTGGCTGAATCCCAACCACTTCTCACTTGAGTGACTTGATATCCTGCTGACTGGTCCCCCTGCCTCAGTCATCCTGCAATAGGCTGCCAGGGAATCTTTTGAAAATATAGATCTGGCCATCTAACTCTCTGCTTAAGATCCTTCATGGACTCCTGCCATACTTGAGAACTGAGTCAAGGCCACCCATGATCTGATCCCTGAGTCTCTCCATCATTCCCTCCCACACAAGCCATGCTTCAAACATGGCAGTCGGGGTGGCAGGGGAGGGGCTGCATTCAGTGGGCAGGGGGAGAATGAAAAGGGGTAACTAAAGGAGGTCAGAGACAAAGGTAGGAGTTAAAGTGATGGCACTACATTTAGGAGTTTGGATTTTGATGTAGTCAAAAGCCACTGACAAGGCTGCAAGCAGAAGTATACATGATCTGAAGTGTAAATTAAGCTTTTGAAAAGATCACATTGGATGCTACATGGAGAATGCATTGAAGGGAGTTAGAATGGAATTTTGGAAGTTATTGCAGAACTACTTCCCTTGTCTCTTTTTTCTTTCCTTCTTTTTTTGAGACAGGGTCTCACTATTGCCCAGGCTGGAGTGCAATAACACGATCACAGCTCACTGCAGCCTCAACCTCTCAGGCTCAAGGGATCCTCCTGCCTTGGCCTCCCAAAGTGCTGAGATTACAGGTGTGAGCCACCACACCCAGCCCTACCTGCAGTTCTCTGAACGCAATTTGTTCCTTGAAGCTACTAGGAGTTTGCTCTTCCTAGAGCATCTTCTTCCCCTCCTCCATCTAGCCAAGTCTCTCAGAGCTCAAATGTCGCCTCTTCTTTCCTAGATTCCATAAGGTGTAGTGTCCTTGCTCTGGACTCCCACAGCACCGTACCTGTAAGTACGGAGGTATGCACAGAACACCGTGCGGTCGCCCCAACTAGACTGTGAGCTCTTCAAAGACAGGAAGTGTTTTTTCTGCTCTGTGCCTCAGTGCTCAGCACATGACATATGCACTCAATAAACTTTGATGACCGAATGAACAAGTGAAGATTGCAATTGTTTCAGGAGCCAAATTTACTGCTCCCCTCCTATCTAATCTGTTATTGCACCTTTCCCCCATCCTCCTACCACTCAGGTGACAATCTTGCTTCCTATTTCTCTAAGAAAACAAATAAGAACTTACACACACACGTCCCATGTCCACATCCATCTTCTTATCTGCGACCGTGTCCATATTGTCTACTTTCTTTCCCATTGTTATGGATGAACTGTCCGTGGTCCTAAGGCCGACCCTTCCACTCATGCATCACTCCAACTGTTCCTGCTCTCTTACATCTACATTCTTCCCTCTCTAATGAATCATTCTCATCAGTACATAAATATCTGCAATACGTCACATCTTAAATTTTAAAAAAGAAAAATCCCTTGAAATCCCACATCAGCCTCCAGCTACAATCTCATTGTTCTTCTTTGCTTTACAGAACTCTGTCAAAGAATTGAATAAAGTAATTCTTCTCCTAATCTTATTTTTTTTTTAGAGACATAGCCTCACTATGTTGCCCAGGCTGATCTCTAACTCTTGGGCTCAAGGGATTCTCCCACATGAGCCTCCCAGGTAGCTAGAATTACAGGCACTTGCCACTGTACCTGGCTTCCTCCTATTTTCTCTTGATCTCACTCTGATCAAGCTTTTACCCCCCACCATCTCAGGGAACAGGTCTTATCCAGATCACTAAGGACTTATATATTGCCAAAGCCAATTGGCAATTCTCAATCCTTATGCTAGTTGACCTATAAGCAGATTGACATGTTTGATCACTCCATCCTCCTTGAAACACTTTCTATGTCTTCTTTGGACAGAAATCTTTCTGGGCAATCCACTACCAACAAGTTGCTATTGCAGACCAAATAGCTGCCTCCTTGTACCCATAAAGGTTGAGCTGTGACACTGTACCCCATCTCTCACCAGAGCCCAGTAGCTGGGTGTGCACGGTCTCATGGAAGATGATAACTGCAGGGCCCAGTGTGGATAAAGGGACATCCAGGCCACAGCGAGCAGTGGTGGCCTTGAGCTCCTTGGTGAAGTGCTTCAGATAAGCTTCTGAGGCATCCCCAAGGAATTTGAAGAGGTCGTTATGCAGCCGGTCTGCATGAGTTCGATAGATGACGAGGTCTGAGATGGCCAGGACCTTAAGCAGCAGCCGTGTTCTCTGGCTTAGATTCACGGTGGCCCCCAGGAGCCCTTCCGTATCGATCACTGCTACTTTGTGAACTGGGTCATAGGCTGCCCACACTCCCACAGTGCAGGACTCCTGGGTCGGGGAGGTTTTAAAGACTTCACGACCATAAAAGAAAGTGTGGTTGAGAGTATGAGACTTTCCATCACCAGTATTTCCAAAAATGGAAACCACTTTCAGATGCTGATCAGGTTTGCAGTCCAATTTTCTAATAAAGTCTTCTTCATTTGTTACCTGCAAAAAAAAAAAAAAAGACCATGAAATACAGAAACTGTAAAAGCACTAGAAACACCTACAAGAAGAAGTGCTTCCCAAGGACAAGGAACTTGATTGAATTGTCAAAGAAAGGAAGTCACAGGATAATAGCTCCCCACCTCCACCCTTAGCAAACAGCTCAAAGGAACCTCTGAAGCTTTAGTCAGGGAAATAACTTAGTGGCCAAAAGAGCTAAAACTATAAAAAGAAAAAGAAAAGAAAAGAAAAGAAAAAAACAAAAAAAAGGAGCTAAAACCGTAAAACTCTTAGAGGAAAACAAAGTAATTAACCTTTGTGACTTTGGATTAGTCTATAGTTCCTTAGATAGGACAACACAAGCACAAGTAACAAAAGAAAAAACAGATAAGGCCAGGTGTGGTGGTTCACGCATGTAACAGTGGCACTTCAGGAGGCTGAGGAGGGAGGATCCCTTGAGCCCAGAAGTTTGAGGCTGCAGTGAGCTATGACAGTGCTACTGCACTCCAGCATGGGCAACAGAATGAGACCCTGCCTCAAAAAAAAAAAAGAAAGGGGGGTGGGGCCAAGTGAGGTGACTCAGGAGTCCAAGACCAGCCTGGGCAACATGGTGAAATCCTGTCTCTGCTAAAAATTTTAAAAATATTAAAAATTTTAAAATAATAACTAAATAAAAAGAAAAAATAGATAAATTAGACTTGATCTAGCCAGGAGCAGTGGCTATAATCCCAACACCTTGAGAGACCAAGGCAGGAGAACTGCTTGAGCCTAGGAGTTCAAGTGCAGTCTGGCAACGTAACAAGACCCTGTGTCACTACAAAAAATAAAAAATGAGGCCGGGTGCGGTGGCTCACACCTGTAATCCCAACACTTTGTGAGGCCAAGGCAGGCAGATCCCCTGAGGTCAGGAGTTCAAGACCAGCCTGACCAACATGGACAAACCCCATCTCTACAAAAATACAAAATTAGCTGGGCATGGTGGCACATGCCTGTAATCCCAGCTACTCAGGAGGCTATGGCAGGAGAATCACTTGAACCCGGGAAGCAGAGGTTGCAGTGAGCAGCGATCGCACCATTGCACTCCAGCCTGGGCAACAAGAACGAAACTCCATTTCAAATCAATAAATAAATACATAGCTGAGTGCATGCCTGTAGTCCCAGCTACTGCAGAGGCTGAGGTGGGAAGATGGCTCAAGCCCAGGAGTTGGAGGTTACAGTGAACTGTGATCCAGACTGGATGACAAAGTAAGACCTTGACTCAAAAAAAAAAAAGACAATGAAAAGACAACTTACAGAATGGAAGAAAACATTTGTAGATCAAATATCTGATAAGGAGCCAGGCATGGTGGCATCCATTTGTAATCTCAGACACTCAACAAGGCTGAGGCAAGAGGATCACTTGAGCCCAGGAGTTTACAGCCACCCTGGGAAACAGTGTCATCCGCCTCATTAAAATAAACAAAGAGGCGGGGCATGGTAGCTCATGTCTGTAATCTCAGCACTTTGGGAGGCCCAGAGGGGCAGATCGCGTGAGGCCAGGAGTTCGAGACCAGCCTGGCCAACATGGTGAAACCCCCGTCTCTACTAAAAACACAAAAATTAGCAGAGTGTGGTGGCACATGCCTGTAATCCCAGCTACTCGGGAGGCTGAGGCAGGAGAATTGCTTGAACCCGGGAGGCAGACTGCAGTGAGCCGAGATTGTGCCACTGCACTCCAGTCTGGGTGACAGAACAAGAACCTGTCTCAAAAAATAAAATAAGATAAAATAAAATAAAATAAATCTAATAAGACTAGTATTCCAAACATACAAAGAAATCTTACAACTCAACAATGAAGATAAGCAACCCAATTAAAAAGTAAGCAAAGAATTTGAATAGACATTTCTCCATAAAAGATATGCAAGCAACCAATAAGCATCTGAAAAGATGCTCCAAGTCCTGAGTCATTAGAGAAATGCAAAGCAAAACTACAGTGAGCTATCACTTCATATCCACAAGACAACAAACGGCTGGGAGCAGTGGCTCAGGCCTATAATCCCAGTACTTTGGGAGGCAAAAAAGAGAGGATAGCTTGAGGCCAGGAGTTTGAGACCAGCCTGGCCAACATGGTGCGACCTCTGTCTCTATAAAAAAAATTAAAAATTAGCTGGGCATGGTGGTATGCGCCTGTAATCCTAGCTACTCAGGAGGCTGAAGCAAGAGGATCGTTTGAGCTCAGGAGTTCGAGGCTACAGTGAACCATGACTGCACCACTCCACTCCAGGATGGGTGACAGAGAGAAGCTCTGTCTCTAAAGAAAAAAAAAAAAAAGACAACAAGCATTGGCAAGGATGTACAGAATCACAATGTTCATGCACTTCTGGTGGGAACGTAAAATCACATAGCCAGTCCGGAAAACAGCTTGTCCACATCTAGCTATATACCCAAGAGAACTGAAAACACATGTCCACACAAATCTTCTAAGTACATCAATGTTCACAGCAGCATTATCCATAACAGCCAAAAAAGTGAAAACAGCCCAATACCCATCCACTGATAAAATGTGGTATATCCACACACTGAGTTACCACGCAGCCATAAAAAGGAAGGAGCCACTTCCACCCCTTGCTTCAATATGCGTCGGTTATTCTCACCTTTGGGGCATTTCTTACACGTGCTCTTACTTTGACCTGACTTGGCAGAAATTCCTATCTATGCCTTGATTGTTTTCTGTCATGACTGTGCCACTTCCTCCTTTCAGTCTTCCTAAACCTTTGCTTCTTAAACTTCAGAGGGGGCTTTGAATGCTACGCAAGACTGCATATTCCTGCTGTTGCAAAATGTTGTTTATTTATTGAAGTAATATCTACTGACCTAGTATTGGTTGTTTTTTTCTTTTTTTCACTATACTATTTCCCTATTGACTTGTTAGATTGGTCAGAAAATAGATAAACTAGCAAATTTGAAGGGAATCATACATCTGAAAGATTCTATTGGAAATTGTGTCCTGAATCATTTCAATTAGCTTTTTAGTGGAGAAAAACTATTACGATAGCAGATTTTCCTAAAATCCACAGTAGTCTTTAAGTTTCACATACTTAACCTTAGACTGAAAGAATGAGAAAAGCATGTAAAATACCGTCACATTTCTCTTATTCTAAAGACATTGTCTATGGCCATACCCCACTGAACACACCGGATCTCATCTAAAGATGAGAAATGCTTTTCACGATTATAATTATAGAATTTGTAATATTCTGTATATTTCCAAAGTATTAATAATCCTACCCTCCAAATGTGCTTATAACCTGGACAAGTGAGAGTTCTGTACCTACCTCCCACCCCCAATTATCATATGGAGAGGCTAAATTGCAAATATTTTCCCTAGAGAAATAATACAAATTTCGGCTGGGCGCAGTGGCTCACACCTGTAATCCCAGCACTTTGGGAGGCTCGAGACCAGCCTGACCAACATGGAGAAACCCCGTCTCTACTAAAAATACAAAATTAGCCAGGCGTGGTGGCACATGCCGGTAATCCCAGCTACTCGGGAGGCTGAGACAGGAGAATCGCTTGAACCCAGGAAGCAGAGGTTGCAGTGAGCTGACATCACACCATTGCACTCCAGCCTGGGCGACAAAGCGAGATTCAGTCTCGAAAAAAAAAGAAAAAGAAAAAGAAAGAATACAAATTTCACTGTTACCTAATAACATTTAGGTAGAAATGCTGGGAAAACATTTTTGTGAAATGAACGTAGCTGGCTATCAAATAATATTTGCTTGACACTACTGGGGTAACAACAACAAAAAAGAATGAAGTGCTGATACATGCTACAACACAGATAACCCTTGAAAACATGGTAAGTGAAAGGAGCCACAATCAAAAGACCACATAGTGTACGACTCCATTTATATGAAACGTCCAGAGCAGGCAGATTCATAGACAGCAAGTAGATTAGTGGTTGCTAGAGGAAGGAGGGAGGAGGGAGAGACTGCTAAAGCTGGGTTTCTATTTGGAAAGATGAAAATATTCCAGAATTAGATAGTGGTAAGGACTGTACAACTTTATGAACATACTAAAAATACTGAATTATATACTTTAAACTGGTGAATATTATGGTATGTGAATTACATCTCAATACAGTTTTTGGTTTTGGTTTTGTTTTTTTTGAGACGGAGTTTTTGCCTGTTGCCCAGGCTGGAGTGCAGTGGCATGATCTTGGCTCACTGCAACCTCCACCTCCTGGGTTTAAGTGATTCTCCCGCCTCAAACTCCCGAGTAGCTGGGATTACAGGCATGCGCTGTCATGCCCAGCTAATTTTTGTATTTTTAGTAGCCCAGGGTCAAAGCTCCTGATTCAAAGAGCTTATGGCTACTGCAGCCAAAGGAGTGAGGAAGCTTCACATCAAGTATCTTCCAGCCAACAGAGAATAAAACACGTTGCTTTTTCTTTTTTTTTTTTTTTTCTGAGACAGAGTCTAGCTCTGTCGCCCAGGCTGGAGTGCAGTGGCGCAATCTCAGCTCACTGCAAGCTCCACCTCCCAGGTTCACGCCATTCTCCTGCCTCAGCCTCCAGAGTAGCTGGGACTACAGGCGCCCGCCACCACGCCCGGCTAATTTTTTGTATTTTTTAGTAGAGATGGGGTTTCAGCGTGTTAGCCAGGATGGTCTCAATCTCCTGACCTCGTGATCCGCCCGCCTCGGCCTCCCAAAGCACTGGGATTACAGGTGTGACCACCGTGCCCAGCCCTTTTTTTCTTTTCTTTTTTTTTTTTTTTTTTGAGACAGGATCTCACTCTGTCACCCAGGCTGGAGTCCAGGGGCACAATCTCAGCTCACTGCAACCTCCGCCTTCTGGATTCAAGCCATTCTCCTGCCTCAGCCTCCAGAGTAGCTGGTACTACAGGCACATGTCACCACACCCAGCTAATTTTTTTTGTACTTTTAGTAGAGATGGGATTTCGCCATGTTTGCCAGGCTGGTCTCAAACTCCTGACTTCAGGTGATCTGCCTCTCCACCTCCCAAAGTGCTGGGACTATAGAGGTGAACACCTTGCTGATTCTCAAGAGTCTGCTGGTTTGATAACAGAGAAATATACAGACCACTCAGTGTGAAAATATGATAAACCTTTGTTTCCTATAATCTCATCAAGATAGTAAACCAAATCCCCGTGCTTTGGGAGGCCAAGACGGGAGGATCGCTTGAGCCCTGGAATTCAAGACTACCTTAAGCAACATAGCAAGACCCCAACTCTACAAAATCAAAAAATTAGCTGGGCGTAGTGGTTCACGCCTATAGTCCTAGCTACTCAGGAGGCTGGGACAGGAGAATCACTTGAGCCCAAGAGGTGGAGGTTGCAGTGGGCCGAGATCGTGCCACTGCACTCCAGCCTGGGCAACAGAGCAAGACTCTAACTGGAAAAAAAAAAAAGTAAACCACTCATTATTATATTAATGACATCACTATTGTTTCATTATTAAGAGCCTGAATATTCCTGATAATACTAACAGTTCACTGAATGCCGGCTGCAGTGACAGTGCCCTTCACTACAGCCATGAGGGCAGGGCCGTGTCTACCTTATCTTTACATGCAGAGCACTCAGGACACCGCCTGGCACACAGGAGGAGCTCAGTGTACAGCTGCTGAGTGAATGAGTGAGTGAATAAACGCCAGGCACCTTGTTAGGTACCCAGGTACCTTAAACGCTTCTCCCATCATACATCTTCCACAGGGCTGAACACACAGCAGCATTTCATAAACTTGGTGATGGGCTAACCGATCTAGCAGACAACGGAGAGAAACAAGAAGTTACACAGAATAGCCCATTTTGGACCCGTGTCACTCAGCCAGCCTGGTTCCAAGCTGCTAAGTCGGCCAGCAAGAGAAACAAAACAAAAGCTCCGTAAAGCTCTACCGGCACGGAGTCAGGTGAGCTCAGGGTGGCTGCTGGAAGAGCCATCCACCTGCTCCACCAGGCCTGGTATGGAAGACCAGGCCTAGGGATTTTCTCCCCATGGAAATCTACTCTGTCGCGACTCTTTACAAACAAAACAGCCACTGCTATCCTGAGTATCTAAGAGCAGGCACCTGAAAGTGGGGACGGGGGAACATTTAGGTACAGAATTGAATGTCTCGGGATTCATATTAAGTGTCCACCAAATGATGTACTATATATATATATATAACTCATATGGGATGGAAAGAAAACACTCCTTGCCTGCATTTGGTGATACCACTTAGCCATTTGGTATTCGGGGGTATGTCCAATGTGGATGTCCATGTGTTGGGCCTATAGATGAGTCCAGTGCAAATAATACTCCTGGGAGGAGGAACTCAAAGCTCCAGGCTGTTTTTTCTACTGACAAGCAGTGAACAATCCCTTAACGTGCACCGACTGCATTTTCGTCATGTGAAAGGAGGCTAGGCCAGGTGCAGTGGCTCACACCTGTAATCCCAGCACTGTGGGAGGCCAAAGCAGATGGATCACTTGAGCCCAGGGGTTTGAGACCAGCCTTGGCAACCTAGCAAAACCCTATCTCTACTAAAAATACAAAAAATTGGCCAGGCGTTGCGGCACGTCCCTGTAATCTCAACTACTCAGGAGGCTGAGGTGGGAGAATTGCTTGAGCCTGGGGAGAGTTTGCAGTGAGCCGAGATCACGCCACTGTACTCCAGCCTGGGTGACAGTGAGACCCCGTCTCAAAAAAAAAAAAAAAAGGAGGCTATAACCATCTTTGCAGGTGCTAATTAACCAAATAAACAGATACGCAGGAAAATGCTGGCACACTGAAACCACACTTCTCTGGCACAGTTCTCTGCCTTTCATGTTACTTTGCTTCCTGATATACTACTAAATTCATCCTTAACACATGAGTATTTTTCCCTAAGCCAGAAAGGAGAGAACAGCCTAGCCTAGGTGGTAGCAAGACCGGTTTTCAGTCAGGGAGGGAAAGGCAGAGAAAAATAAGAAGATTCCCTTTGATGAGGGAAGGAAGGGCCCAGGAAGGAACGAAGCTCCAGCTCTACTTGTTCGGCTTGTCTACACTCAGTGACCCCATGGTGCTCCAATCCTGGAGTTAAATAGGTTACCTGGCCCTGAGCTCGGCCAACTGGCCACCCCATCCAAGTTGACAACATGTTTGAAATGGTCACTGGCCTTACCAACAGCAAACGCAGGAGGGATACCAAAGCCACCCCTCCCCAACTTTTGCCTTCCATCTTCCCCAAGCTTGCTAGGCCTCAGGCGAGTCCAAAACACCTGAATGCCACTACAGGCTTTGAAACCATGGTGTGGCCTTGGGAAAGTTACTTAACTACTCAACACCTCAGGGAAATGAGATAATAACAGATGTCCAGCTCCTAGCGACACTCAGCGGACTAAAAGAGATAAAGTATGTAAAAGGCATAGCACAGTGCCTGGCATGGAGTAAGCACTCGATACGTGAACCATTATTAAAGACCAGTCCACTGGGAAAACACCCAGGTGCACAGCAGCAGCAGCTGGGCTTGCACCTGTGAATTGCTCATTTGGGGGCTGATTCAGCAATGTAGTAAGATCTAAATGAATTCTACCTAAAATGAAAGAGCTCACTGCTTGCATCAGATAACCACCTCCTGCTAATCAAAACACATTTTTTTTTTTTTTATGAGACGGAGTCTCACTCTGTCGCCCAGGCTGGAGTGCAGTGGCACGATCTCAGCTCACTGCAAGTTCCGCCTCCCCGGTTCAGGCCATTCTCCTGCCTCAGCCTTTGGAGTAGCTGGGACTACAGGCCCGCCACCACGCCCGGAGAATTTTTTGTATTTTTAGTGGAGACGGGGTTTCACCGTGTTAGCCAGGATGGTCTCAATCTCCTGACCTCGTGATCCGCCCGCCTGGGCCTCCCAAAGTCCTGGGATTGTAGGCGTGAGCCACCGCGCCCGGCCAAAACACATTATTATTCATACTGGCTTTAGAGCTGGCTCTTAGTAACTATCTAATATTGTACTAATCTTTACGAGGCTGGGCGTGGTGGCTCACGCCTGTAATCCCAGCACTTTGGGAGGCCTAGGAAGGTTGATCACTTGAAGCAGGGAGTTCGAGACCAGCCTGGCCAACGTGGTGAAACCCCATCTCCACTAAAAATATAAAAATTAGCTGGGTGTGGTGGCACATGCCTGTAATCCCAGCTACTCGGGAGGCTAAGGCGGGAGAATCACTTGAACCCAGGAGGTGTAGGTTGCAGTGAGCCGAGATTGCACCACTGCTCTCCAGCCTGGCCAACAGAGTAAGACTCTGTCTAAAAACCTTTACAAAACCCAGCAGCACCTCCCTCTCTCCCTCCAATTCACCCAAAGCTTTTTACTTTGTATAGACTCCCAAGAAGAGTCTGTAAAATGAAATATAACTGTACTCAATGATCCCCCACCCCAGTTCCTTTTTTTTTTTTTTTTTTTTTTTTGAGACAGAGTCTAACTCTGTCGCCCAGGCTGGAGTGCAGTGCCGCAATCTTGGGTTACTGCAACCTCTGCTTCCCTGGTTCAAGCGATTATCCTGCCTCAGCCTCCTGAGTAGCTGGGACTACAGACACGTGCCACCATACCTAGGTAATTTTTTGTATTTTTAGTAGAGACAGGGTTTATGTTGTCCAGCTGGTCTCGAACTCCCTGATCTCAGGTGATCTGCCTGCCTTAGCCTCTCAAAGTGCTGGGATTACAGGGATAAGCCACTGCGCCCAGCCCCAATTTAGAATTCAGAATAGTTCATGGTAGTGAAAAGTGTCCAGCATCAACCTGCGACCCAAGCAGGCCAAGGGAATGATGATGTTCTCCCTCGAGAGATTCCTTCCAAGCCCTCACAGAATCATTCTAGAATGAAAGACCATGTACCGGCTCTGTTCCAAGGAGGCCTGAAAAGGGAAACCAAGAGGTGAGGAAGGAACTAAAGAGCCTTGGAAGGAAGGAAGTTCAACACAGCACAGTCAGAGATTCTAGAAGTTAAACCCCAACAAACCTGGAAAACACTCTTAAGAAAAGTAGTTTGGCACCAAGGTCTTTTCAGTACTGGCCCCTGGGAAAAACAGATTTAATCTGTACCAACTACAATCATACATTACTCCAATTTTTTTTTTCTAAAGACAGGTCTTGCTCTGTTGCCCAGGTTGGAATACAGTGATTCACTGCAGCCTCCACCTCTCAGGCTCAATCAATCTCCTGCCTCAGCCTCCTAGGTAGCTAGGAGGACTACTGGCGTGCACCACCATAGCTGGCTAAACTTATTTTTTGTAGAGACAGGGTCTCTCTATGTTGCCCAGGCTGGTCTTGAACTCCTGGCCTCAGGCAATACTCCTTCCTTGGCCTCCCAAAGCACTTGGGATTATAGGTGTGAGCCACTGAGCCCAACCCCATGGCCTAAATTTCAAACAGGATTTTACCTAAACTATGTCAAACAGATCAGTAACCAGTCTATTTTAAAGTCCAAATGATTAGATTTCTTCCAATAGCAAGGTTTAAGTTCTATTAAATCTGTTTCCTCAACACAGCAAGTTTAGAAAATTTCTTTTCATTCTATCCTAAAGGGTATGTATACCTCATGTCTATCCACGTACATGTTGCTAGAGTTTCACATAAAAACACAATCATTTCTCAATCAAATGTTTTCTGAAGACACTGAAGTCACGGGGTTGGTCTCACAAACACACTGAGCACATTTGGCAGGGGCAAAGATCACTTTCTTCCACTCTAGTGTCCCCAAAGTGTTCCATTACTTGAGAGGTCAGGAATTCCTCTCCATGTCTTATAACTACCAGTGGTGCTTCTGACACTATGCTTCACAGAGACTGCCTGCAGCTCCTCTCCTATCCTAGCAGAAATAAAAGTGTTTCTTTTTTTATTTTTTTGTGTGTGAGACGGAGTTTCACTCTTGTTGCCCAGGCTGGAGTGCAATGGCACGATCTCGGCTCACCGCAACCTCTGCCTCCCGGGTGCAAGTGATTCTCCTGCCTCAGCTTCCTAAGTAGCTGGGATTACAGGCATGTGCCACCACACCCAGCTAATTTTGTATTTTTAGTAGAGACGGGGTTTCTCCATGTTGGTCAGGCTGGTCTCGAACTCCTGACCTCAGTGATCCGTCCGTCTCAGCCTCCCAAAGTGCTGGGATTACAGGCGTAAGCCACCATGCCTGGCCTAATAAAAGTGTTTCTATGCAGAGATGGTCCACAAAAATTCTTTTTTTAAAAAAAGTCATTTTTAGCTCCCTGATCAGTTTCTTTGACCACATCCAACACACCCAGTTCAGCAATCCATTTATATCTGAATAAAAAGCTTTCCAAGGCAAAGATGAATTCTGAGGACACACTGGAAATACCGAGTCATCCCCAAGCCCCACCTCATCCTCAAGGGAACTTTCTGAGGAGCTTCTGGATGGGAGATGCAGCTGCCTTTTTAAGTGGCATAGCATATCCATATTTGGCCAGCTGTGAAAACAGATGTAAGCTCCAGTAAAGGCCTGTCAGTAAGCAGAATGGTCTTTCATTCTGGAATGATTCTGAGGGCTAAGAAAGGACTTAACAGTAAAAGCTAAGCTACACAAACCAGGCTAGAAAAGAGAGTTAGGTTTAAATCATACCCTGGGCAACTGACTCAACCCTTCTCTTGCTCAAAGCCTCCATTCCCACCCACCACCTCTGTTAACATTTTCCCACTCTTCCAGCGCTAAACACCCCAACTAGAATGTACTCCAGGCTGGCAGAGATATGGTCTGTGTTGTTCACTACCGTAACCTTAGCACAGTGCCTGACGCAAAATAGGAAATCAAGACACAATTGATCAATAAATGAATGAACACAGCACAAAATGTCTAGACGCTATATCCTCTGGGGGAGGGAATGGTATAGTATCACCATTAAAGGTTCAACCAACCTCACTCTATCATCCACTGACTTTAGGATAACTTTATTCAACCCCTCTGGGGCTCTGTTATTCACCTCTAAAATGAAGATAACAACACAATCTACTTCATAGGATTTCTGCAAAAATTAAATAAGATGATGTACATCAGGCACTTAGCACAGTGGAGGCCCAGAATAACTTGTAGTAAATGCTAGAGGCATGCTGACTGACATCATTGCTGCTTTGCCCCAAGCCAGAGTCATCACCATCAGCTGGAAATTTCATTATCCCAAGTAAAAGCTCTCCTTAGGGAGGCTGGGCGCGGAGGCTCACGCCTGTAATCTCAGCACTATGGGAGGCCGAGGCGGGAGGATCACAAGGTCAGGAGTTCGAGACCAGCCTGACCAACATGGTGAAACCCCCATCTCGACTAAAAATACAAAAATTAGGTGGGCGTGGTGGCACGTGCCTGTAATCCCAGCTACTCAGGAGGCTGAGGCAGGAGAATCACTTGAACCCAGGAAGCAGAGGTTGCAGTGAATGGAGATTGCACCACTGCACTCCTGCCTGGGCAACAGAGTGAGACTCCATCTCAAAACGAAACAAAACAAAACTCTCCTTTGGGAAGGTTTCCAATAAATGCTTCATTAAGGGAATAAGGATAGGCCGAGCATAGTGGCTCATGCCTTTAATCCCAGCAGTTCGGGAGGCTGAGACCGGAGCACTACTTGAGTCCAGGAATTAGAGACCAGCCTGGGCAATATCATGAGACCTCATCTCTACAAAAATCAATCAGTTAGCTGGGCATGGTGGTACATGCCTGTAGTTCCAGCTACCTGGGAGGCTGATGTGGGAGGATTGCTTGAGTTATGATGGTGCCACTGCACTCCAGCCTAGGCAACAGAGCAACATGTCTCAAAAAAAACAGAGAAATAGGGATAATTGAACAAGCAGGATCCTTATTCAATACTTAACACTCCTTCCCTCAAAAGGATGTATCTTTTGAATTAAAAAGAAACCTAGGCTGGCACAGTGGGTCACACCTGTAATCCCAGAACTTTTGGAGGCCAGAGGTGGGAGGATCACCTGAGGTCAGGAGTTTGAGACTAGGCTGGCCATCATGGTGAAACCCTGTCTCTACTAAAAATACAAAAAATTGGCCAGGTGCAGTGGCTCATGCCTGTAATCCCAGCACTTTGGGAGGCCAAGGCAGGCAGATCACCTGAGGTCGGGAGTTCGAGACCAGCCTGACCAACGTGGAGAAACCCCTTCTCTACTAAAAATACAAAATTAGCTGGCTGTGGTGGCACATGCTTGTAATCCCAGCTACTCAGGAGGCTGAGGCAGGAGAATCACTTGAACCGGGAGGCAAAGGATGCAGTGAGCTGAGATCGCACCATTGCACTCCAGCCTGGGCAACAAGAGTGAAACTCCGTCTCAAAAAAAAAAATGCAAAAAATTAGCCAGGCATGGTGGCACGCGCTTGTGATCCCAGCTACTCTGGAGGTTGAGGCAGGAGAATCGCTTGAACCGGGGAGGTGGAGGTTGCAGTGAGCTGAGATTGTGCCACTGCACTCCAGCCTGGGTGACAGAGCAAGACTCCATCTAAAAAAAAAAAAAAAAAAAAAAAACCACACACAAAACAAAAAAAAAAATTATAGAGTCAGGGTTGGACTCTTACATTTCATTGAAAATCCTTAAATAACAAATTATGTCAATATAGATTTAAATGCTTACTGTGTGTTACGTGGATACTGCATGAAGGATTTTACATATGTTTTTCTCAATCCCCAACCCCAATAACGTATAGATACTACTATAAATTCATTTTACAAAGGAACAAAAACCAAAGCTTAAAAGAAAAAGAAAAACCAAGGTTTTAAGTTAAATGAATTAGAATACTATAAGATTCACTTGAATCATGAGTAACTTATGACCAACTTAATCCCTTTCAAGTCCTCTGAATGTTTTTGGAAATAGCCTTTAAAAAAATTAAAAGCTCACTGTCTCAAAAAAAAAAAAAGAAAGAAAGAAACCCATATGGCTGGGGAGGTGGCTCACACCTGTAATCCCAGCCCTTTAGGAGGCCTAGGCGAGTAGATCACTCGAGGCCAGGAGGTTCGAGACCAGAATGGGCAACATGACAAAACCCCATCTCTACTAACAATACAAAAAATTAACCGGGAGTGGTGGCACATGCCTGTAGTCTCAGCTACTCAGGAGGCTGAGGTGGAAGGACGGCTTGAGCCAGGGAGGCGGAGGTTGCAGGGAGCTGAGATCACACCACTGCACTCCAGCCTGGGCAACAGAGTGAGACCCCTTCTCAAAAGATTGTTTTGTTTTATTTTTATTTTATTTTATTTTATTTTTATTTTTGAGATGGAGTCTTGCTCTGTCGCCCAGGCTGCAGTGCAGTGGCATGATCTTGGCTCACTGCAACTTCCACCTCCCAGGTTCAAGCGATTCTAGTGCCTCAGCCTTCCATGTAGCTGGGATTACAGGCGCCTACCACCATGCCAGGCTAATTTTTTTGTATTTTTAGTAGAAATGGGGTTTTGCCATGTTGGCCAGGCTGGTCTCAAACTCCTAACTTCAGGTGATCCACCTGCCTCTGCCTCCCAAAGTGCTGGGATTACAGGCGTGAGCCACCATGTCTGGCCTAAAACATTGTTTTAAGAGAAAAAAAAAAAGAAACCTATAATAAGATTGCATACATATATATATATATAAAATGCATAAGAAAACATTCAATCTTCTTCAAAAGAATGATATGGCCCAGTGTGGTGGCTCACGCCTGTAATCCCAGCTCTTTGGGAGGCCGAGGCAGAAGGATCATGTGAGGCCAGGACTTTGAGACCAGCCTGGGCAACATAGCAAGACCCCATCTCTATTAAAAATTAAAAAATAGCTGGACACTGTGGTTCATGCCTGAATCCCACTGATTTAATTTCTTAATTCATGAAACAAGTGGAGGGTTGGGGAGAAGCAAAGGGAAAGGTAGGGAGAGAAAGAAAGGAAAAGGGGAAGAGGTAGATAGGTTGTCTGTCAAATATCACAGATGTAGGTAACAGTTAACTGAGACATAAGGAAAAAAATTATAGTGCACCCAATGACCTACCAATTACAAACTAAACCCATGAGTCACCAGGCCAGAATGGGGATGCAAAAAGAACCAAGGGGCCAGGTACGGTGCCTCATGCTTGTAAACCCAACACTTTGGGAGGCTGAGGCGGGTGGATCACCTGAGGTCAGGAGTTCGAGACCAGCCTGACTAATGTCATGAAACCCTGTCTTTACTAAAAATAACAAAATTAGCTGGACGTAGTGGTGTGTGCCTGTAGTCCCAGCTACTTGGGAGGCTGAGACAGGAGAATTGCTTGAACCCAGGAGGCGGAGGTTGCAGTGAGCTGAGATAGTGCCACTGCACTCCAGCCTGGGCAACAGAGGGAGATTTCGTCTCAAAAAAAAAGAACTGTGGGATCCTTGAAAAGCCTCTACTCAGAAAAACAGAAAAGAGAGCTTCATTCCAGAGAATGAAGGCCTCTGCCATTCCTCCCTAGTGTCATTTAATCTGAGTTTTCACTTTAAATCATTTTTTCAGAGATATTACCGAAACTCAGAAAGCATGCAATTGACAATTCAATAAATATTTATGACTGCTGTAGAATGATACACATAAACTATATTGAACGCTTTGAAAGAAAAAATTATGAGAGATGACAGTTTAGCTGTGTAGATAACATATTCATGAGACAGAAGGGATTGAGCTAGAAAGTAGAGGAATTTCTAGGATACTCTTTGAATTCTGGATTGCTCAGGATCATGCTGCCCCTTCACTTGAACCTGAGGGTCTGTAACTTCATGCCAGAACCAGGCTCTGACAGTTCTTTTCAAGTATTCTAACATCTAGGGTCAAATTTCCTGGGGAAGACAGCAATAACCTAGTCTCAAGTAGAAGGAAATCAGGAAGGGACCGAAAATTCTAGAAGCTACCTGGAAGTCCAATTATCCTCCAGTGAAGTCAAGCCAGAGGTCAGCTACTTATGTATGGCTGGAAAACTTCTCTGCCCCAAGAACTCCAGCTATGACCAAGCTGACCATATAAACCAGTCAACAGAGGCTCTTCAATGCTAGCCAAAAGCCATTGAGAAGAGGGGCAAAATGGGCCAGGTGCAGTGGCTCACGCCTGTAATCCCAGCACTTTGGGAGGCCAAGGTGCACAAATCACCTGAGATCAAGAGTCCAAGACCAGCCTGGCCAACATGATGAAACCCCGTCTCCACTAAAAATGCAAAAATTAGCCGGGCATGGTGGCAGGTGCCTGTAATCCCAGCTACTTCGGAGGCTGAGGCAGGTGAATCGCTTGAACCCAGGTTGTAGTAAGCCGAGATTGCGCCACTGCACTCCAGCCTGGGTGACAAGAGCGAAACTCCATCTCAAAAAAAAAAAGAAAAAAACAAGAAAAGAAGGGGAAAATGAACAAAATATTCTCCAGGGAAGTATCCACCCTTCCCCACCTTCAAAAGCTCCTCTGCGTCTCTTTCCATACGTCTTTCCAACTCCCCTTGCCTGAAACTTCTTTACCCTTGTTTTTCTTCCCTTCTTCATGGTCTCCCCACATCTTTTCTCCGATTTCCCATCAAGCAAATGTGTTCGATACATTTAGCAGTTCTAACCTCAGATAGAAATGATCTCATGAGAGCTCCTCCCGAAGTAGGGAAGACTCCCCAGAAAAGTCTGACCAGCCATCAGAAGTGCATCTGCCTATATAATCTCCTGGATAAACTCAAGGGTGGTTCAGCCAGTAGATGCACCCACAGGAAAACACTGAAGGTCAAATTAATAAGAAATATGTCTATTATGTTAATCCTGGCTCAAAAAGCCAAATGCCTGCTCAATTCCAGAAAAATCAATCACTTCAAGGAATTGACAGGCCAGAAGAAAAAAGAGAATCATGCAAACTGAAGGTGTCTTAAAGTAGTTAAAGACAGGTTCTCTAGAAAGCTGACTCACAGTGGTTTCGATGGCTTACATGGGTCAAATTTGAAACATCCTTGTACTAAAACAAAATAGCGTACCAAGTTAAATGCCAGGAGTCTGTTGTAACTGAATGATCCCCAGGCTGAAAAAGCTCACAAGACACTGGGCAGAAACTGAAGGCACATAATAGGGTTTCTTTCATCTTTCTTTTGGTCTGAGTCATCCTCAACCCTGTGTTTCCCAGTAAACACCATATAATGCCTTCCCCTCTACCAATATCACTAAACAAAAGGGGCTTTTACTTGAGTTTCTTTGTGTTAAAGGCAATGATGGAGGAGGAGGCCCTACTACCAACCCAACTATTGGTTATTATTTTGACAGCTCCTACGAAGATCTATTTTTTTGTTATATTTATATGACACCTAAGAAACCAATAATAGATATATTCATATTCTGACCAGAACTTGCCAAAGGGCTAACCAGCTACTGCACCAAAATTAGTCCTTACATTATAATACTCTGGCCATTGGAAGAGAAAAATGGGAAAATTCAACAATTTGAAAGATTATGATCCCTCTGGCTCATGATCTACTGACCAGAATGAAGTCCTGAAGGATTTCCTTCTGTTATGTTATCTACCAGCTAATCTCAAACAAGAGGAGCTGGAAAGAACAAGCCCCATGAAGCTACCCTAGACCAGAAAGCCAAGAACAGGGCCAAGAAAATGAACAGCAGACAAGCCTGAAATAGAAGTGGCACAGACATGTGGCAGACCAGTACACCCAGTTTGTGGTAAAGAATTCCCATACAGGGCCGGGTGCAGTGGCTCATGCCTGTAATCCCAGCACTTTGGGAGGCTGAGGCAGATCACTTGAGGTCTGGAGTTTGAGACCAGCCTGGTCAACATGGTGAAACCCCGTCTCTACTAAAAATACAAAAATCAGTCAGGCATGGTGGCAGGCGCCTATAGTCCCAGCTACTCAGGAGGCTGAGGCAGGAGAATTGCACGAACCCGGGAAGCAGAGGTTGCAGTGAGTCAAGATGGTGCCACTGCACTCCAGCTGGGTGACAGAGTGAGACTCCATCTGAAGGAAGGAAGGAAGGAAGGAAGGAAGGAAGGAAGGAAGGAAGGAAGGAAGGAAGGAAGGAAGGAAAGAAGGGAGGGAGGGAGGGAGGGAAGGGGGAAGGAAAGGGGGGAAGGAAAGGGGAAGGAAGGGGGAAAGGAAGAGGGGAAGGAAGGGGGGAAGGAAGAGGGGAAGGAAGGGGGGGGAAGGAAGGGGAAGGAAGGAAGAAAGAAAGAAAGGAAGGGAGGGAGGAAATAGCAGAGGAAACCTCCACCCCCTGGGTTCATGCAATTCTCCTGCCTCAGCCTCCTGAGTAGCTGGGACTACAGGTGCCTGCCCAGCTGATTTCTGTATTTTTAGTAGACACGGGGTTTTGCCATGTTAGCCAGGCTGCTCTCGAATTCCTGACCTCAAGTGATCCGCCCGCCTCAGCCTCCCAAAGCGCTGGGATTACAGGCGTGAGCCACCACGCCCGGCCTGCTATTTTCCATTCCTGAACTCCACTAGAATAACATCTCTTTTAGTCAAGTCCCAGTATTCTGAGCAACACTATTCTGGGACTGTAAACAAGTGAGGCCGCCAAGCCACACGATGGGTCTTCTTAAAGAAGCAGTCTTGTTGGGCACGGTGGCTCACGCCTGTACCCAAGAGGTGGAGATTGCAGTGAGCTGAGATCGCGCCACTGCCCTCCAGCCTGGCAACAGAGCAAGACTCCATCTCAAAAATAAATAAATAAATAAAAAATAAAAACACAAGAACGAAGAAAAACAAATGCCTTTTACTGTTTCACCTTTCTTCTCCTGACAGGTTAACATTCTAATACAACAAGATGTCTGACTCCCATACAAGACCCAAGAGATGGGAAAATTCTATCCTCTTCCCCCACTAAGAACTCTAACTACCAGAAATCTTATTCTTCTGACCTTTAACTTATTTGCTAAGGTGTTGCCTCTGGCTTCAAGAGATTATAGATGACTCGTCAGCATGAATCATTTATTTATTATGACCTCTAAATAATGGATCTGGGCCGGGCACGGTGTTCACGCCTGTAATCCCATCACTTTGGGAGGCCAAGGCAGGCGGATCACAAGGTCAGGTGATCAAGACCATCCTGGATAACACGGTGAAACCCCGTCTCTACTAAAAGTACAAAAAATTAGCCAGGCGTGGTGGCGGGCGCCTATAGTCCCAGCTACTCAGGAGGCTGAGGCAAGAGAATGGCGTGAACCCAGGAGGTGGAGCTTGTAGTGAGCTTGAGATCGTGCCACTGCACTCCAGCCTGGGCAACAGTGCAAGATTCCGTCTCAAATAAATAAATAAATAAATAAAGGATCTGTAAGTCCTTTGGTTTTCCTAGTACAGTTCCACCGAGGCCTAGAAAAATCAATGAATACGGCCAGATGCAGTGGCTCATGCCTGTAATCCCAGCACTTTGGGAGGCCGAGGCTGGTGGATCACCTGAGGTCAGGAGTTCAAGATCAGCCTGCCCAAAATGGTGAAACCTCGTCTCTACTAAAAATTAGCCAGGTGTGGTGGCGGGCACCTGTAATCCCAGCTACTCAGGAGGCTGAGGCAGGAGAATCACTTGAACCCAGGAGTCAGAGGCTGCAGTGAACCAAGATTGTGCCACTGCACTCCAGCCTGAGCAACAAGAGCAAAACTCCAGTTCCCAAAGAAGAAAAAAAAAGATCAATGAATACAACTCAGAAAGTCTTACCATCTCACTAGAGAGGTTACAAAATATGTCAAAAGAGAATGCTGAGTTCACCAGCTAAATTACTTGAGGAGCAAACAGAACTAAAAGAAGGAGGGAAAAGGCCAGGTACAGTAATCCCAGCAGTTTGGGAGGCCACAGGAGGATCACATGAGCCCAGGAGGTGGAAACCAGCATGGCCATCATAGTAAGGCCCTGTCTCAAAAGAAAAAAAAAGATGAAGGAAAAACTGATGTTTGGTTCAATTTTTTTGTCCCTGATATATTTTCCACTTCACTAGTGTCCAGATGTCCTGTTAGACTAAACCTTCATCTGTCAGATCGATCACTTTCTTAGTGTCAGCACTACTGACCTTTTATACCACCAGATAACTCCTTCTGTCGGGGCTGCCCTATGTCCTGCCTGTGGTTTTAAGTAGCACCCTGGCCTCTATGCACTATCCAGCAGCATGCTCCCCCAAAAGCTCAGTTGTGACAACCAAAGATGTCTCCAATCATTGCCAATGTCCCTTGAGGGAGCAAAATCGCTCCTGATTGACAACCACTGTGTTAGATAATACAAATGGGACTAATTTATCTCTCTTTTTTGTACTAATCAGGTTCTTAAAGACTTAGTTTTATCAATTTCACACAATAAAACCTGGTGTCTTAAATAAGCAAGTGTTATTTGTACAAACCAAATGCCTACAAGTCACCACTGAGTTCTCCTACTCCCTCACTCCTCCATCCAACATATCAGCACTCCTACTTTACCTACAAACTTTGTCCAAAATTCATCAATGTCTCTCCATTTCCCCATCTCAGTAACACCAAATCTACACCACTTCTTTCCCCACCCTCTGCAACAGCCTCCTAAGTGGTCTCCCTGCCTTCCTTCTTGTCCCTCTACAGTCACTACCATCTAGTCTATACATCAGTCTCTATCAGGTCACTATAGCTTCTATCAGGTCCTGTGACTTCTTAGCATAAAGCAGTCTGGTGTCTCCCATCACCCTTAAAATAAAATCCACTTACTTCTACAGCCTGCACGGCCTCCCATGCATTGGCACCTGCTTCCCTCTGCACCTCTTCCCTTACCATTCTCTGCCAGCTCACTCCAGCCACACTGGCATTCTTTCTAGCCTCGAACATGCCATCCAACCTTCATTTTCTTCCCATTCCCTCTATCTGGAGGCCTACATAGCACATTAGTATTACCCATAAGGTCTCTGCTTAAAAATCACCTCTGCAAGCTGGGGGCAGTGGCTCATGCCTATAATCCCAGCACTTTGGGAGGCTGAGGTGGGCAGATCACCTGAGGTCTGGAGTCCAAGACTAGCCTGGCCAACATAGTAAAACCCCATCTCTACTAAAAATACAAAGATTAGTCGGGTGTGTTGATGGGTGCCTGTAATCCCACCTACTTGGGAGGCGGAGGAAGGAGAATCGCTTGAACCCGGGAGGCGGAGGTTGCAGTGAGGTGAGATTGCGCCACTGCGCTCCAGCCTAGGCGACAGAGCAAGACTCCATCTCAAAAAAAAAAAAAAAAAAAAAAAGGCACCTCTACAATAAGACCTTCTCTGACCATCCTGCCAAAGAGGCTTCCAAATCACTCTTCTTAATAATACTCACTACAGCTGAACCAACTATTTAGGTGTTTACATGTGTGAAATCTGCTTTCCCCACTTGAATAGTAAGCTCTATGAAGGAATGGACCATGTCTTATTAACCATGTATCCCCAGAACACAGAAAGTGCCTGGCACGGCTGGGCGCAGTGGCTCATGCCTGTAATCCCATCACTTTGGGAGGCCAAGGTGGGCAGATCATGAGGTCACGAGTTCAAGACCAGCGTGACCAACATGGGGAAACCCCATCTCTACTAAAAATACAAAAAAACTAGCCAGGCGTGGTGGCGCGCACCTGTAATCCCAGCTACTCAGGAGGCTGAGGCAGAACAATTGCTTGAACCCAGGAGGCGGAGGTTGTAGTGAGCCAAGATCGTGCCACTGAACTCCAGCCTGGGTGACAGAGACTCCATCTCAAAAAAAAAAAAAAAAAGTTCCTGGCACATAATATATGCGCCAAAAATGTGATGAATTAATGGATGTCTTTGGCTAGCAGGTCGAATGTGTCCATTTAGGAGCCACAGGTGACTTTCTACTTCTGAGACCAACAGTCAGTCTCTTCTCAAATTTACCACTATAGTACACACTCAAATGACAAGGTAATGATAAAATGTTCACCCTTAAAGGAAGCTTTTAGTCCTTTTACATTTTCTAAAAGAAACTGAGTAGTACTCAAATCATACACAAAAATCTTAGGAGACTCTAGGCCATAGAATTTGAGGAGACCACACACAAGGGTTACAGCCTACAGGTGCTAAAATAACCTCTATCTATGGGCCGGGCACAGTGGTGCATACCTGTAGTCTCAGCTACTTGGGAGGCTGTAAGTGGAAGGATTGCTTGAGCCCAGGAATTCAACGCCAGCCTGGGCAACACAGCAAGACCCCATCTAAAAAAAAAATCCCTATGTACTAAATTGAAAATGCTCAAAACCCACAAATGCCTAGAAACATGAAAAGAAAAACAAAATCAGAACCTAACTGATAGACACTTTACTGCTATTAGGAAGTTCATCAATAACACTTTGATAATGATAAATAATACATTTATACAGAGCTATGGTTCATCGGATTCTCACAGCAGCCATAAAGAATTGGTGAGCTGGTGCTTTTGGCCACAATGAAGTTTAATTATAAAGTTTAGGCCGAGGCCAGGCGCAGTGGCTCACGCCTGTAATCCCAGCACTTTGGGAGGCCAAGGCAGGTGGATCATGAGGTCAGGAGTTCGAGACCAGCCTGACCAACAAGGTGAAACCCCGTCTCTACTAAAAATACAAAAATTAGCCAGGCGTGGTGGTGGTGCCTACAATCACAGCTACTCGGGAGGCTGACGCAGGAGAATCACTTGAACCCAGGAGACGGAGGTTGCAGTGAGCCGAGATCACACCACGGCACTCCAGCCGGGGCAACAGAGTGAGACTCAGTCTCAAAAAAAAAGAAAAAGAAAATTTATGTCGGGCGCAGTGGCTCACATCTGTAATCCTAGCACTTTGGGAGGCCAAGGCGGGCAGGTCACGAGGTCAAGAGATCAAGACCATCCTGGTCAATATGGTGAAACTCCATCTCTACGAAAAATACAAAAATTAGCTGGGCATGGTGGCACACACCTGTAGTCCCATCTACTTGGGAAGCTAAGGCAGAAGGATTGCTCGAACCCAGGAGGCAGAGATTGCAGTGAGCCAAGATTGTGCCATCACACTCCAGCACCTGCTGGGTGACAGAGTGAGACTCCATCTCAAAAAAAAAAAAAAAAAGGAAAGGAAAGGAAAGGATAAGTATACATGAAAAAATTCTAGAAAGGCATGCAGTTCACTGTTTTTTGTTTGTTTCTTTGTTTCTTTGTTTTTTCAGACAGAGTCTCGCACTGTCACCCAGGCTGGAGTGCAATGGTGTGATCTCAGCTCACTGCAACCTCCACTTCCCGGGTTCATGCGATTCTCCTGCCTCAGCCTCCTGAGTAGCTGGGATTACAGGTGCACACCACCACACCAGGCTAATTTTTTGTATTTTTAGTAGAGATGGAGTTTCACCATGTTGGCCAGACTGGTCTCGAGCTCCTGACCTCGTGATCCACCTCCCTCAGCCTCCCAAAGTGATGTGATTACAGGCGTGAGCCATCGCGCCCGGTCGCAGTTCATTGTTAATGGTGACTGCTTTAAGAAAAAAGAGCAGGAGCCAGGCACGGCGGCTCAGCCTGTAATCCCAGCACTTTGGGAAGCCAGGGTAGGAGAATCAATTAGGTCAGGAGTTGGAGATCATCCTAGCCAACATGCAAAACCAGGTCCCTACTGAAAACACAAAAATTAGCAGGGCGTGGTGGCAGGTGCCTGTAATCCCAGGTACTGGGATTATAGGCGTGAGCCACCATGCCTAGCTACTTTTTTTATTTTCATTAGAGACAGGGTTTGACCATGTTGGCCCGGCTGCTCTAGAACTCCTGACCTCAGGTGATCTACCTGCCTGGGCCTCCCAAAGTGCTGGGATTACAGGTATGAGCCACCATGTCTGGCCTTGATATCCATTTTTTAAAAACTGAAGTTGGCTGGGCACAGTCACTCACGCCTGTAATCCCAGCATCTTGGGAGGCTGAGGCGGGCGGATAACTTGAGGTCAGGAGTTCAAGACCAGCCTGACCAACATAGAGAAACCCCATCTCTACTAAAACAAACACAAAAATTAGCCAGGCATGGTGGTGTGTGCCGGTAGTTCCAGCTACTCAGGAGGCTGAGGCAGGAGAATCGCTTGAACCTGGGAGACGGAGGTTGCAGTGAGGCAAGATTGTGCCACTGCACTCCAGCCTGGGGGACAGAGTGAGACTCTGTCTCAAAATAAAAATAAATAAATAAATAAATAAATAAATAAATAAATAACTGAAGTTGAGATGTGACAACACCAATCCGTAAGTATTTATGCACTGACAATGTGTTTACCACTGTACATGGCATAGGCCATGAAACATGGTCCTGCTCTCCAGTTCACAATCTAGCTGAATTTATAACCTAGATTTATGTCAATCATCTAATTGTTTTGAACATTCACTATCAGAAAACTGAACTAGATATTTTAAGTATTTCTCCATTTATGACTCTATGAGAACAAATCACCTAAAATCAATGAATTCTATGTCTAAACCATCAGTCCCAAAAATGCTGCTTGCAGTTAATAAACTGTTATTTCCTAGGACGTGGTTAATGTTTATGAATGGAGGAAATGTGGGAAGAATCTTTACAAACAATCCAATTATATACATATTACATTCAAGAAAAAAAAAGATGAAGGACCAATATCATCTCTGGGTAGTTAGATTTATCTTCTTCATTACACTTCTTTATATGCTCTTAATTCTCAACTAAGGAACACATATCAATGCTACAAAAAGAAAAAAAAATACACATTCTCCTCCCCAAAAAAACATTCTTTTTAAAGGTGCCAATGCAATCCATGAGGGTTACTAGTTCATCCCAAAGCTTCCCCTCATTTGACAAAAGTGGCAACAACCAAACTATGACTTTCCAAAAGCTGACATTACAGAGAACTGAGCAAAACCATCAAGAATCACCCAAAATCCAAGTGTTCCATTTATAAAAGATTCAGTCCACAATGTCGCCCAATTACAGCGTAATCCATAACAAAGACATTATCGCTGACAAGGGACATGGAATGGGATCTAGGTCACTCTTCCATAACTCTATTCGATCCTCTCAAACCAATAAAGAAAATCTGTGTTAGCAAAGTATTAACATGACAATGGAAGTATACAGGAATCATGATGTAACTCATTTCCATCAGCTTTATCCAAGAAGGAAAAAAGTACAGAAGAAAAATATTAGGTGGGTAATTAGGCAGCCTCTCAAATGGTAACTTACATAGGTACTCCCCTCCAAACTGGAAACCTAAGGAGTCACCACCATCAAAAGTACTGAGTCAGTGGACCACAGATACTCCAGTGATACTGACTACAACAAACTGGTACTGGATACTATGTGCCAGACTGTGATAAAAATCATTTAAGCTGTGCCTCAGTTTCACTGGTACTTCACAGGATTGTTGATAGGACTCAAAAAGATTAGGAATGGAAAGGATTTTTATCACTTACCCTTGGCTATATAGTGATTGGTAAACAAGTATGTGAATTCAAGCAAACTTCACTTGAAAGCCCACTCAAAAGAAAAGTATAGACATTACACTACCTTCATTCAAAAGTATAAACATTATACTACCCCTTCCCCAATCTCACCTAGCTGTCACAACACTACCATCTCCCCAACTCAGACTCAAGCCAAATATCCCCTAGTCATTCTGTACTCCCAGATGCCCCTCACTGGCTTTTACTGATCAGAAACCTATACAAGAAAATATGAAGAGACCAGCCAATCGCGCCTGTAATCCCAGCACTCTGGGAGGCCAAGGCGGGTGGATCACTTGAGGTCAGGAGTTCAAGATCAACCTGGCCAACATGGTGAACCCCCGTCTCTACTAAAAATTCTAAATTACCAGGCGTGATGGCACATGTCTGTAATCCCAGCTACTTGGGAGGCTGAGGCAGGAAAATCGCTTGAATCCAGGAAGTAGAGGTTGCAGTGAGCCAAGATGGCACCACTGCACTCCAGCCTGGGTGACAGAGCGAAATTCCATCTCAAAAAATATATATATATATATATATATATATATTTTATATATGTTTTATATATAATATATATTTTATATGTTTTATATGTAATATATATATTATATGTTTTATATATAATATATATTATATATGTTTTATATATAATATATATTATATATGTTTTATATATAATATATATTATATATGTTTTATATATAATATATATTATATATGTTTTATATATAATATATATATTTTATGTGTTTTATATATAATATATATTTTATGTTTTATATATATTATATATATATTTTATATATGTTTTATATATATAATATATATATGAAGAGACCATCTGGAAAGAATATTGTCCTTATTAAAAGCCACTTTTTAAATCAAGATAACAGGTTTATGCCTTATTAGCTAGCACTCCCATGGGACCCACTGTTAGTGTGTGTTTCCCTGGATAGGTGCAGTCCCGCATCACTAACATTTACTCACAGCTTGCCAGGGTGCTCTCATTCTGAAATGTTTTAAATCAGTTTGTTCTAATAATAATGCTACAATTAATACTAACAACAGCTACCGTATACACTGACCATTTATTATGCGACAGGCTCTACAAACACTGTCTCATTTCAACCTCACAACTCGATGAAGTAGGCTGTCCCCCATTTTATAGATGAAAAAGCTAAGGCTCAGAAAAGTAAAGTAATTCGGCCAGAGGTCATGCAGCTGGTAACTAAATCTGACTCC
Source organism: Homo sapiens (assembly GCF_000001405.40). Lineage (NCBI taxonomy): Eukaryota > Metazoa > Chordata > Mammalia > Primates > Hominidae > Homo > Homo sapiens. The sequence goes on from NC_000014.9 coordinate 73,023,888, forward strand.
ATGCAACTAAAGCCTCCAGAGGTCTTGCCTTTTAATGATTAAAATGTGATCTCTTCTTGGACATCGTTTTTTGAGAGCTGGCTTCCAACAACAGATCTGCTCCACTACACATGAATCCCACTATACCCGTGTGCTTACCTGAATTTCTTCATTTTCGTCTACTAGGAGGAAACTCACAACCTTCTCAGTCATCTTCTTCCTCTTGGTCTCCTCATCCATCTCTTCTGCCTCCAGTGACTCCTGGAGATTACTGACATTGTACACAGTAACAGGGTGTCTCCTTTTGTTACCCCCAGAATGAGTCCTCTTCTGGCACTCCAGGCACAAGTTAATTTTGCAGGTCTGGCACCTCACTATTGCCCTCTGCCTAACACCTGGTAAATGCCCACTGAGACCCTTGCAGAGGTCACAGTAAGGGACATGGCCAGGTTTGAGTCTTATCCGCTCATGGTTTCTCAGGCGCTCCTGCCGATGGAGCTCCTCCTCGCAGCGGAGACACTGCAGACTGCAGCACTCATCACACTCAAAGATAGCTTCATCAGTCCCGCTGCAAGCGTAACTTTCCTGGCACATCAGCCCCGGATTCAGGCCCTTCTCTGCTGGGGAAGTCTGGGCACTCATACTCACGCTGGTAAGGAAACACACCCACCATATAATAGTCACTGAGCTTGCCCCGGGGGTGAAGACGAAGATTTGAGTCTGAAGACTGCACGAAACTTCCACAGGGTTCTGAACACTTTAAAAAAGAACACCTTTCATGTCCTGTTATAGTTCTTCACAAACAAATGTTCAAATTTTTAATTTGCTGCCTCTAAGACTCTTGTATTAGCAGCAACGTTGATTTGGTTTGATGGTTTCATCCTCCATAAAGTGCAAGCAAAGATGTGGTCAAAATTGACTTGGAAGGGTCTTTTATGGCTATCTGAGAGAGGTCTGATGGGTTCACGGTGGTGGGTTCATCGGTTGGACATCAGCTACAAAGTTTTGGTAATGAAAGAAAGTGGTCAGGAGCTTTTCAATATAATTCGACCTGAAGTCAGTATTTCAGGGGATACCTAGAATAGAGGAAGGAAAAGGATTTCACTCATCTAAAAAACAGAAGTGCACCTTTAAAAAAATTTTTTTTGACTAAATTAAATATTAGCCCAGAACTGCTGAGAGAAATCTCATTCCTCTTTTTTTTCTTTTTTTTTTTTTTGAGACAGAGTTTTGCTCTTGCTGCCCAAGCTGGAGTGCAATGGGACAGTCTCGGCTCACTGCAACCTCCGCCTCCCGGGTTCAAGCGATTCTCCTGCCTCAGCCTCCCAAGGAGCTGGGATTACACGCGCTAGCCACAATGCCCAGCTAATTTTTGTATTTTTAGTAGAGACGGGGTTTCACCATGTTGGCCAGGCTGGTCTTGAACTCTTGACCCCAGGTGATCTGCCCGCCTTGGCCTCCCAAAGTGCTGGGATTACAGGCGTGAGTCACCGCACCTGGCCAGAAATCTCATTTTCTATCTTAACACTTACACTGGCTTGTTGTATAGCCAGGCGCAGTGGCTCACACCTGTAATTCCATCACTTTGGGAGGCCGAGGTGGGCAGATCACTTGAGGTCAGGAGTTCGAGACTACCCTGTCCAACATGGTGAAATCCCATCTCTACTAAAAATACAAATATTAGCTGGGCATGGTGGCAGGCACGTGTAATCCAAGCTACTAGGGAGGCTGAGGCAGGAGAATCACTTGAACCCAGGAGGCGGAGGTTGCAGTGAGCCAAGATCTTGCCACTGCACTCCAGCCTGGAAGACAGGGCAAGACTCCCTCAAAAAAAAAAAAAAAAAAAAAAATCTCAAAATTGTGGCTAAAGCTCCTCCTCTTGACAACAAACGCCACCTCTAGGCCCAAGGCATTTAAGAGACTTTGCTGCTCTATTTCCCAGACTGGAATTTTCTGTTCATTCAGATATTAAATTCAGAATCTAAATCACTAAGTGAGTAGTCCTTGGAAGGACAGCCCTCTGCACCCCCACATGCATCCCACAATTGGGAGGAGTGGAGAGGCCTTCACAAAGCTAATGAAAATGTAATAATAAACTTTAGATCTATCAAATACCTGGGCCGACCTGGTTAGCCTTGTAACTGGATTGTTTCAACTCTAGCTAGATGTATATTAAAGACTCAAAACTTAGAAACAATAGTAACAATTTCATCTTTAAAAACAATTTTTTTACACTGTAATTCTTCTGTCCCTTCTTTCACTAACTGAAAAAAAAAAAAAAAAGGAGCAACAGGAGACAATTCCTCTACTTTGACCCATGGCAAAGCCAGGCCTGCAGTGAATCAAAACAAATAATTTTTCTCTTTGTCACTTAAAAACTAACTTAAAAATAACTTCAAAATACGAAAAAAGATAACTGGGGCAAGAAAGGGGCTTTTGTCACTTTGACAATTATATTCCTAATTCCCCCTAGCCTTGACCCGCATTCCAAGGCCCCGACAAGGTGTAAAGCCCTGCCTTTCTGATAGTCACTCCTCCCCTACAGTAATCAATCTATCAACCTTATTTTCAGATAAACAAGGAAGGCGAAGGGAGTGACTAGGGGATCTTATTTACTACAATCTAACCTCAGACATGCCCAGCCAGCTCCCAAAACAGAAACAAAAATCAAACTTGTCACAATTGAGAAAAATATAAAATCAACCTTCAAAAGTACACCTCACGCCCGGCCATGTCAACCAAACATTTTGCCCACTCGGGCCCCCACCTCGACACCTCTCCCCAGCCGGGGGTTCCTCACCCTTCCTTCCACCCGGACACCACCGCCACAACCCGAGGGGCAGGAGCGGAGCCTAAGAACAAAGAAGGTCCCCCAAAATCCCCCCCACGCCGGCAAAACCCGGAGCCGAATCCATTGTTTATACCACCCCACCCCCACCCCCGCCGCACCCGCCCCCCCTTCCTCCCGAGGGCAGCCTGAGCCCCAGGACGATCACTCGCCCCGCGCTGGGCCGTGCCCTCCCCGCCCTGCCCTGCCCGCCGCGGCCCGGGGATCCCACCACTGAGAAGCTCGGCCGCAGCAAGGCGGCGTCGGGGGGCCGCAGGGCGCCAGTGGGGGCAGAGGCTATTCCTCAGGACACCGGCAGATCCATCCTCATCTCCATCTCCGCCACCCTCCTCCTTCGTTGCCTCCCGGGCTTCCTCCTCTCCTGTTGTCAGTTGGGATCAGCTGATCGGAGTGAACTTCTCCCAGCTCGGACTAACAGGAAGGCGTGAGCGGTGCAGCCCAGAAAGGGAGGAGCGAGAGAGGGAGGATCCCGGCGCCAGCAAGGGCGTAGTGCGCACTGCCTCCTGGGAGATGTAGCTCCTCGAGGCGCGCTCTCGCCCCTCATCCCGGAAAGGAAGACTCTGAATGACTACAACTCCCAGTACTGAAGAGGCTGCTCTTGCGAGGAGGCGGTGGGGACAGGCTACGGAGGATTTCGGGACTTGGAGTTTTTGCATTGAGTGTGGTGTCCGCAGGTTTCAGCACGTTCTTTTGGGTTGTAACTGGGGAAGGCATGGTGCTACATTAGAGAACTGATGTAATAATGTCTAGTATAAGTGGGAAATGGTGAGTCAATTAATTTGGATTCAAGTAACCTCTTGCACACCATTCCCTCAGAAACGTGTGAGCACAGACAGTCTCCACCTTCCCAATTTCACTTCGCAAAAACTAAGGAAAAGACCAGAAAAAGTGATAAGAGGATATAGGTACTCTTGGGAAGTTTTTGTTGTTTTTCCCCCCTTGGCAAAGGACAAAATTACAACGAATTTAGTTTTAAGATCTCAGTTGGCTTTATTGCGACTCTAGGATCAGGCAACACTTCATTCCAGAAAGTGGAGTGAATGTTCTGATGAGCTGAGCAGGAGAGGTTGGCTTTGTAGACAGAGAAAAGCTTGAGGAAGCAAAAGCAAAGAACAAAGAGCATATTGGTTTCTTTCTTTCTCTTTCTTGTCATTCTTTTCTTTCCTCTTTCTTCTCTTTTTTTCAGTCTTCTCATGGGACCTTGACATATTGGTCACTTCTAAGCTACTTTCCTTGGAAGGTGAGGACAGAGAGACAGAACAATAGAAAAATAACTGATTAGTTGACATCAGTTACTTCAGGCTACTTCTTTTGTGTAAGGATTACAACAGAGGGAGCTTCATTATCATGCAACATTAAAACAAGCCTGTTTGGGAAACTGGCTGTCCTTATCCCTCTTTCCTGATTTCTCTGAAGGTCAGATAACAACTTAGCTTGGGTTTGGTAACAACTTAGTTTGGATTTGGTGAGGTGAAACTTTAGCATGGGTGACTCCATTTTTATTTTAGCCAGGTCTATTGGGGCCTGGTGCAGGAGTTTAGTCCAAAACAAAGGCCTCCTATCATTTTTACTTAACACCCTTCAAGGGTATTCTCCAAGCCAACCATGAATTTTTTTTCCTACCTATTATTTTTCTGATCTTTCCTTCTATAGTTTCAGAACTTCTCAGGCTGGGCGCGGTAGCGCATGCCTGTAATCCCAGCACTTTGGGAGGTCGAGGTGGACGGATCACCTGAGGTCGGGCGTTCGAGACCAGCCTGACCAACATGGAGAAACTCCATCTCTACTAACAGATACAAAATTAGCCGGGCGTGATGATGCATGCCTGTAATCCCAGCTACTCGGTAGGCTGAGGCAGGAGAATTGCTTGAACCTGGGAGGCAGAGGTTGCAGTAAGCCGAGATCACGCCATGGCACTCCAGCCTGGGCAACAAGAGGGAAACTCTGTCTCAAAAAAAAAAAAAAAAAAAAGCTATTATACTTTCAGAACTTCTCAATTTGAAATTATCTTTGAGGGCCAGGCACGGTGGCTCATGCCTGTAATCCCAGCACTTTGGGAGGCCAAGGAGAGCGGATCATGAGCTCAGGAGTTCAAGACCAGCATGGCCAACATAGTGAAACCTCATCTCTACTAAAAATACAAAACATTAGCTGGGTGTGGTGGTGTGCACCTGTAATCCCAGCTACTCGGGAGGCTGAGGCAGGAGAATCACATGAACCCGGGAGGCAGAGGTTGCAGTGAGCCAAGATCGCACCATTGCACTCCAGCCTGGGCAACAGTGCAAGACTCTGTCTCAAACAAGAAAAAAAAAAAAAGAAAGAAATTTTCTTTGCGTTAGATGGGCTAAATTTTCAGATAAGTTTTCAGGCTACAGTGCAGGCTAATGGTTAACATTTATCAGGCTTTTTTTTCTTTTTTTATGGCCTTATATTTGTTTAGTGCTTTCACTTTTTGTTTGTTTCTTGAAACAACATTGAAAGAAAGCCTGAGTCTGTGTTGCCAAAGATTGACTGCTTGCTCTAGAAAAGCTCCTGAAGGCCTGGTGTGGTTGTTCCTGTGTGTAATCTCAACACTTTGGGAGGCCAAGGCACGCAGAGCACTTGAGGTCCTGGCCAACATGGTGAAACCATGACTATACTAAAAATACAAAAAATTAGCTGGGAATGGTGGCATGTGCCTGTAATCCCAGCTACTCTGGAGGCTGAGGCAGGAAAATCACTTGAACCCCAGAGGCAGAGGTTCCAGTGAGCCAAGATTGTGCCACTGCACTCCAGCCTGGGCAATGGAGCAAAACTCCATCTCAAAAAAAAAAAAAAAAAAAAAAGAGGCTGGGCGCAGTGGCTCACGCCTGTAATCCTAACACTTTGGGAGGCTGAGGCGGGTGGATTGCCTGAGCTCAGGAGTTCAAGACCAGCCTGGGCAACATGGTAAAAACCCATCTCTACTAAAACACACACACACACAAAAAATTAGCCAGGCATGGCGGCGTGCACCTGTAATCCCAGCAACTAGAGGGACTGAGACAAGAGAATCACTTGAACCCGGGGGTTGGAGGTTGCAGTGAGCCGAGATCGTGCCATTGCACTCCAGCCTGGGTGACAGAGTGAGAGACTCCATCTCAAAAAAAAAAAAAAGAAAGAAAGAAAGAAAACGTCCTGACTATACAGGTGGTTGGGTAAGTCACTCAACCTCTCCACAAAATAGAAATTGTAATTAATGAAGTCCCTGCCAATTCCAACATACTATGATTCTATCTTGATAATTGTTAACCCAGAAGAGAAAACTAAGATTAAGTGACTTGCCAGGGTTACACAACAAATTATTGACAAATCTGGGACAAGACTGTATCTGCTGACTTGAAGTCCAATACTTTTTACCTTATGATTCCAGGGACATAAGTAAACCACTAGCAAAATCAAATCTACATAATAATGACCCATATATGAGGATTAAATTGCTGAAAATTATATTTTCAATATTGGGCAGAGAGCCAATGGTTGGATTATGAAACATGGCTGAGAAATTGTTTTCTAAAAACAACTTCTAGGGCCGGGCGCAGTGGCTCATGCCCGTAATCCCAGCACTTTGGGAGGCCGAGGCAGGTGGATCACGAGGTCAAGAGTTCAAGACCAGCCTGGCCAAGATGGCAAAACCCTGGCTCTACTAAAAATACAAAAATTAGCCGGGCCTGGTGGCGGGCGCCTGTAATCCCAGCTACTCAGGAGGCTGAGACAGGGAATTGCTTGAACCCAGAAGGCAGAGGTTGCAGTGAGCCAAGATCGCACCACTGCCCTACAGCCTGGGTGACAGAGTGAGACTCCGTCTCAAAAAAAAAGAATAAACATTAAAAAATTTCTGGGCCGGGCACAGTGGCTCACGCCTGTAATCCCAGAACTTTGGGAGGCCGAGGCGGGCAGATCACAACGTCAGGAGTTTGAAACCAGCCTGGCCAATATGGTGAAACCCCATCTCTACTAAAAATACAAAAAGTCAGCCGAGTGTGTTGGCATGCGCCTGTAATCCCAGCTACTCAGGAGGCTGAGGCAGGAAAATTGCTTGAACCCAGGAGGCAGAGGTTGCAGTGAGCTGAGATGGTGCCATTGGACTTCAGATAGGACTACCCCTATAGTAACTTGGAGCCATAATAGTTTCCTTGGCTGGGCACAGTGGCTCACACCAGTAATCCCAGCAATTTGGGAGGCCAAGGTGGTCAAATAACTTGAGGTCAGGAGTTCAAGACCAGCATGGCCAACATGGCAAAATCCAGTCTCTACTAAAAATACAAAAGTTAGCCAGGTGTGGTGGCACCTGCTTGTAATGCCAGCTACTCGGGAGGGTGAGGTATAAGAATCACTTAAGCCTGGGAGGCAGAAGTTGCAGTAAGCCGAGATCGCACCATTGCACTCCAGTCTGGGTGACAGAGGGAAACTCTGTCTAAAAAAAAAAAAGTTTCCTTTAGCCAGGCACGGTGGTGGTGCATGTCTGTAATCCCAGCCACTCTGGAGACTGAGACCTGAGGATCCTTTGAGCCCAGGAGTTCCAGAAGAGCATGGGCAATATAGTGAGAACCCTCCCCCACATCTCTTTTCCGTCTTCCTAAAAATAAAGAAAATAAAATGATGGGAAAAACAGCAAACACAACCCTGCCTTCTGGATGTAAATATTTTTTTTTTTTGAGACAGAGTCTCACTCCGTTGCCCAGGCTGGAGTGCAGAGGCATGATCTTGGCTCACTGCAACCTCTGCCTCCCAGGTTCAAGCAATTCTCCTGCCTCAGCCTCGCAAATAGCTGGGACTACAGGCATGCGCCACTACATCTGGGATGTAAATCTATTTGGAATGTGTAACACATGACCATAGGGACGTGGTGTTTGTATAGATAGAACCTTTGGGTCTGGTGTGGTGGCAGGTGCCTATAACCCCAACTACTGGAGAGGCTGATGTGGGAGGATCACTGGAGCCCAGGGGTTCAAGACCAACCTGGGCAAGATAGACCCCTATCTAAAAAAATAAAAATAAAAATAAAAACCTCACTTGCAGCCAGGTGCAGTGGCTCACGCCTGTAATCTCAACACTTTGGGAGGCCAAGGCAGGTGGATCACCTGAGGTCAGGAGTTCGAGACCAGCCTGACCAACATGGTGAAACCCCATCTCTACTAAAAATACAAAAAATTAGCCAGGTGTGGTGGCAGCCACCAGTAATCTCAGCTACTTGGGAGGCTGAGGTAGGAGAATCGCTTGAACCTGGGAGGCGGAGGTTGCAGTGAGCCAAGATTGTGCCATTGCACTCCAGCATGGGCAACAAGAGTGAAACTCTGTATCAAAAAAAAAAGTGTATATATATATATATATATATATATATATATGTGTGTGTGTGTGTGTGTGTATATATATATGTGTGTATATATATATGTGTGTATATATATATGTATATGTGTATATGTGTATATATGTATATATGTGTATATATGTGTGTGTATATATGTGTATATGTGTATATATATATGTATATGTTTATACACACACACACACACACACACACACACACACACACACACATATATCTCCTGGGAACAAAATGGTGTTTAATAAACTATTTTATTTATTTATTTTTATTTATTTATTTTTTTTTTGAGACAGAGGCTCACTCTGTTGCCAGGCTGGAGTGCAGTGGTGCGACCTTGGCTCACTGCAACCTCTGCCTCTAGGGTTCAAGCAATTTTCCTGCCTCAGCCTCCTGAGTAGCTGGGACTAGAGGCGAGTGCCACCACACCCAGCTAATTTTTGTATTTTTTGTAGAGACGGGGTTTCACCATGTTCGCCAAGATGGTCTCGATCTCTTGACCTCATGATCCTCCCACCTTGGTCTCCCAAAGTGCTGGGATTACAGGCATGAGCCACCATGCCTGGCCTTTATTTATATTTTATTTATTTTTTTGAGACAGAGTCTCGCTCTGTCACCCAGGCTGGAGTGCAGTGGCGCGATCTCGGCTCACTGCAACCTTCACCTCCTGGGTTCAAGTAATTCTCCTGCCTCAGCCTCCAGAGTAGCTGGGATTACAGGCGAGCACCACCACACCCAGCTAATTTTTGTATTTTTAGTAGAGCTGGGGTTTCACCATATTGGTCAGGCTGGCCTCGAACTCCTAACCTCAGGTGATCCACCCGCCTCGGCCTCCCAAAGTGCTGGGATTACAGGCATGAACCACCATGCCTGGCCTACTTTTATTCTTTTACCAGATCGTTGAAATTAGCAGATCTGTTTCTCATGTCAGTTTTCTTTACTCATTCTCATTCTTTGCACACTAAGTTATTTTTTACCATGAGCCACATTTTCCTTGGAAAATATTTGTGGGAATTCTTGGAGGCCTAGGATAAAGGTTTATTCCTCCAGAGAGGATTTGCTTTTGCTTCTGCAAAGAAGGACACTTGAAACAATTCACCATTTGAGGTTTGTATTTTTGACCACCAGGAGATGTATATTTGGGCTACATATCCCTGGGAGGGCTAGCTTATGGGTCTAGTGCCACCCACACACACCTCCACAAACTCTCTCTTCCAAGACATCTTTCTTTTCACTCTGTTGGGGAAAGATATAATTACTTCCCATTTTCCCTCACTGAAACTGTAGACTGAGTTCCTAGATTTAGATTTCCCTCTTCCCCCAGGTCCTGGGCTTTGTCTTCTGTCCCACTTGCCTCAGGATGTCTAGAAAAATCAAGCTTTGGTCAGGGGCAGTGGCTCATGCCTGTAATCCCACCACTTTGGGAGGCCAAGGCAGGTGGAGCAATTGAGGCCAGGAGTTCGAGACCAGCTGGGCCAACATAGTGAAACCCTGTTTCTACTAAAAATACAAAAATTAGCCAAGCTTTGTGGCTATTTACACACACCTGTAATCCCAGCTACTCTGGAGGCTGAGGCATGAGAATCGCTTGAATCTGGGAGACGGAGGTTGCAATGAGCTGAGATCATACACTCCAGCCTGGGCGACAGAGCAAGACTCTGTCTCTGAAAATATATATATATCTGAAAAGGAATTTGGAGGAAAAAGGCTTTTATTCTAGTGAACAGTTAGCAAACTATAGAAATGCGGCCTTCCGTGTAAAACGAAGTTAAGCTCCAAAAACTAAAGAGACAGTTCAGTATTTTATTATTTTATTTTTATTTTTATTTTTTGAGATGGAGTGTTGCTCTGTCACCAAGGCTGGAGTGCAGTGGTGGGATCTTGGCTCACTGCAACCTCCACCGCCCAGTTCAAGCAGTTCTCTTGCCTCAGCCTCCCGAGTATCTGGGACTACAGGTGCACACCACCAGGTCCTGCTAATTTTTGTATTTTTAGTAGAGACGAGTTTCACCATGTTGGTCAGGCTGGTCTCGAACTCCTGACCTCAGATGATCTGCCCCCCCACCCCTTGGCCTCCCAAAGTGCTGGGATTACAGATGTGAGCCATCCGCGTCCAGCTGGACAGTTCGGCTTTTATAGCACAAGTTCCTGCCCAAGTTCCAATCAGGTCCATTTATGCAAATGAAGGCGTCAAACTAGCTTAGTTCTGATTGGTCAATATAGCTCAGTTCTGATTGGCCTCTTCAGCCCAGATTGAGTTCTGATTGGTTGGTTCAGGTGAATGGTTTTTTTGGTTGTGTTTTGTTTGTTTGTTTGTTTGTTTTTGAGACAGGATCTCTCTCACTCTGTAGCACAGGCTGGAGTTCCATGGTGCAATCTCCCCTCACAGCAACCTCCACCTCCCAGATTCAAGTGATTCTTCTCCCTCAGCCTCCCAAGTAGCTGAAATTGCAGACATGTGCCACCACGCCCGGCTAATTTTTGTACTTTCAATAGAGGCAGGGTTTCACCCTGTTGGCCAGGCTGGTCTTGAACTCCTGACCTTAAGTGATCTGCCCGCCTAGGCCTCCCAAAGTGCTGGGATTACACACGCGCCCCACTACGCCCGGCCAGCTCAGGTGAGTTCTGAAAGTACCAAGGTTTTAAAAAACGCTGGTTTTGGGCTGGGCGCAGTGGCTCACACCTGTAATCCCAGCACTTAGGGAGGCTGAGACGGGCAGATTACTGAAACTCGGGAGTTCGAAACCAGCCTGGCCAACAGGGTGAAACCCGGTCTCTACCGAAAATACAAAATTAGCCAGGCTTGGTGGCGGGTACCTGTAATCCCAGCTACTCCAGTGGCTGAGACAGGAGAATCACTTGAACCTGGGAGGAAGAGGTTGCAGTGAGCAGAGATCACGCCACTGCACTCCAGCCTGGGCGACAGAGCAAGACTCCGTCTCAAAAAATAAATAAATAAATAAACACTGGTTTTTAGATAACTCAGAGTGTGGGCCGGGTGCGGTGGCTCACGCCTGTAATCCCAGCACTTTGGGAGGCCATGGTGGGCAGATCACCTGAGGTCGGGAGTTCAAGACCAGCCTGACCAACATGGAAAACCCCATTTCTACTAAAAATACAAAATTAGCTGGGCTTGGTGGCGCATGTCTGTAATCCCAGCTACTCGGGAGGCTGAGGCAGGAGAATCGCTTGAACCCGGGAGGTGAAGGTCGCGGTGAGCCAAGATCGCGCCATTGCACTCCAGCCTTGGACAAGAGCGAAACTCTGTCTCAGAAAAAAAAAAGAGAGAGAGAGAGAGAGAGAGAGAAGAACTCTGTGTGTGTGACATCTAGTCATCAGCAAATGGCTGCTTGGCTCTATTTTAAATTTAGGCACAATCAGCCACCCAGGATCCATCTTTAATGATTGGCTCTTTCAGGTTCACATTTGTTCACACAGTTTACAGTCGTGGTGGCTCACACCTGTAATCCCAGCAATTTGGGAGCTGAGATGGTAGGATCGCTTGAAGCCGGGAGCAATCCTATATGTTGCTAAAATAACTTTCCTTTTTCTAGACTTAAATGGCTGACCGACTCTATTTCTGGTTGATTTGTTTCTCTTTCAATATGATAATATAGGCCGCAAGGTGGCTCACGCCTATAATCCTAGCACTTTGGAAAGGTGAGGCAGGAGGATCACTTGAGGTCAGGGGTTCGAGACCAGCGTGGCCAATATGGTGAAACCCCGTCTCTACTAAAAATACAAAAAATTAGCCTGGAGTGGTGGCGTATGCCTATAGTACCAGCTACTTGGGAGGCTGAGGTAGGAGAATTGCTTGAACCCAGAAGGCGGAGGTTGCAGTGAGCCGAGATCGCGCCACTGCACTCCAGCCTGGGTGACAGAGCAAGACCCTGTTTCAATAAATAAGTAAATAAGTATGGCCGGGCACGGTGGCTCAGGCCTGTAATCCCAGCACTTTGGGAGGCCGAGGCGGGCGGATCACCTGAGGTCGGGAGTTCGAGACCAGCCTGACCAATATGGAGAAACCCTGTCTCTACTAAAAATACAAAATTAGCTGGGCATGGTGGCGCATGCCTGTAATCCCAGCTACTCGGGAGGCTGAGGCAGGAGAAGCGCTTGAACCCGGGAGGCGGAGGTTGCGGTGAGCCGAGATCATGCCGTTGCACTCCAGCCTGGGCAACAAGAGTGAACTCTGTCTCAAAATAAATAAATAAATAAATAAATAAGTATGATAACATATTTCATCAAATTACATTTAAGTCCTGCTGAACTATGAGCAACATCTTTCTTCCATTAATTAAGACAAATTACAAATCAAACTGCCTTAATCAATAAAAGAAATGTATTGGCTTACATAACTGAACAATCTGAGATATGACAGTTTTAGCCAAAGCTGAATCTGGAACTCAAATGATACACTCAACACTTTGCTTCCTTCTCCATTTCTCAGCTTGGAGAAAGGCACCTAATTTTTTTTTTTTTTTTTTTTAAGACAGAGTCTCACGCTATTGCCCAGGCTGGAGTGCAGTGGCGCAGTCTTGGCCTGTAATCCCAGCACTTTGGGAGGCCGAGGCAGGTGGATCACCTGAGGTCAGGAGTTCGAGACCAGCCTGGCCAACATGGTGAAACCCCATCTCTACTAAAGATGCAAAAAATTAGCCAGGCATGGTGGCAGGTGCCTGTAATCCTAGCTACTCAGGAAGCTGAGGCAGGAGAATCGCTTTAACCCAGGAGGCAGAGGTTGAAGTCAGCTGAGATCATGCCATTGCACTCCAGCCTGGGCAACTAGAGCGAAACTTCATCTCAAAAAAAAAGGAGCCAGGCCTAGTGGCTCACACCTGTAAGCGCAGCAATGTAGGAGATCTAGGCAGGAGGATTGCATGAGCCCAGGAGTTCAAGATCGGCCTGGGCAAAAGTGTGAGACCCCATCTCTACAAAAAATTTAAAAATTAACTGGGTGCAGGCCAGGCGCAGTGGCTCACATCTGTAATCCCAGCACTTTGGGAGCCCAAGGTAGACAGATCACTTGAAGCCAGGAGTTCAAGACCAGCCTGGCCAACATGGTAAAATCCTGCCTTTACTAAAACTACAAAAATTAGCCGGGCATGGTGGTGCATTCCTGTAATCAATCTCAGCTACTCAGGAGGCTGACGTACGAGAATCACTTTAGCCCAGAAGGCGGTGCTTGCAATGAGCCAAGATTGAGTCACTGCACTCCAGCCAGGGCAACAGAGGAAAACACTAAAAAAAAAATAAAATGCCAGGTGCAATGGCTCACACCTGTAATCCCAGCACTTTGGGAGGCTGAAGCAGATGGATCACTTGAGGTCAGGAGTTGAAGACCAGCCTGTCCAACATGGTGAAACCCCCATCTCCACTAACAATACAAAAATTAGCCAGGCATGGTGGTGCATGCCTGTAATCCCAGCTACTCGAGAGGCTGAGGCAGGAGAATCTCGTGAACCTGAGAGGCAGAGGTTTCAGTGAGCCAAAATTGCACCTTTGCACTCCAGCCTGGGCAACAAGAGCAAAACTCCATCTCAATAAAAAGGAAAAAAAAGTGTCTTCTGAGAATTTGTGAACATAGTTTTACTCTCATTTTTTAGGGTCTGAGTGTTGAATTCTAGTGACCCCAAGGTGGTACTGCACTTTGGCACACAGCAAATATAAATTGCAAACCTTCTTTGGAAGAAACCTCCTCAACTCAAACTTCTAAGTTTGTCACAAATAAACTTAAGCTAAGCATGAACTCACAAAAACAAGTCTCCATGAATAAGAATCAATAATAAATAATATATTTTTACCGCTGAGATTCTCAGCTATTGTAATAATCAAATATGTAAATGAAGGCAAAATGAAGACATTTCAAACAAACCAAATCATAGGAAATTAATCATAAGCAGACCTGCACTATAAGGAAATGATAAAGAATGTTATTTAGGCCGGGCGTGGTGGCTCACGCCTGTAATCCCAGCACTTTGGGAGGCCGAGGTGGGTGGATCACCTGAGGTCAGGTGTTTGAGACCAGCCTGGCCAACATGGTGAAACCCCTTCTCTACAAAAATACAAAAATTAGCCAGACGTGGTGTTGGGTACCTGTAATCCCAGCCACATGGGAGGCTGAGGCAGGAGAATCACTTGAACCCAGGAGGCGGAGGTTGCAGTGAGCCGAGATTGCACCATTGCACTCCAGCCTGGGCGACAAGAGTGAGACTCCATCTCAAAAAAAAAAAAAAAAAAAAAAAAAAAAGAGCATTATTTAAGCAGAAAGAAAATGATATCAGAGGGCAATTAGATTCACACAAAAGAATGAAGAATGTCAGAAAATACCTGCTATAGTTTGAATGTTTGTGTCCCCTCGAAAATTCATGTTGAAACTTAATAGACTGCAGCAATGCAATCATGGCTTATAGCAGCCTTGACCTCCTGGGCCCAAGCAATCCACCTGCCTCGGTTTCTCAAGTAGCTGAGACTATAGGTGTGTGCCACTATACCCAGCTAATTTTTAAAATTTTTTGTGGAGATGGGAGTCTTGTTAGGTTGCCCAAACTCCTGGGCTCAAGTCATCCAAAATAAGCAAAGAGAAGAAAATAATAAAGATGGCTGGGCTCGGTGGCTCATGCCTGTAATCCCGGCACTTTGGGAGGCCGAGGCAGGCAGATCACTTCAGGTCAGGAGTTCCAGACCAGCCTGGTCAACATGGCAAAACCCCATCTCTACTAAAAATACAAAAATTAGCTGGGTGTAGTGGCGCACGCCTGTAATCCCAGCTATTCGGGAGGCTGAGGCAGAATTGCTTGAACCCTGGATTCTTGAACCTATCTCAGCCTCCCAACTAGCTGGGATTATAGGCGCCTGCCACCATGCCCAGCTAATTTTTGTATTTTTAGTAGAGACAGGGTTCTACCATGTTGGCCAGGCTGGTCTCGAACTCCTGACCAGCAGATGATCCACCCGCCTTGGCCTCCCAAAGTGCTGGGATTACAGCCATGAGCCACCACGCCCGGCCCAGTCTTTTCACTTCTATTGGCATAGATTAACTTGTGTAGAACATTAATCATGTTTAACAGATCACCATAAAAATCAAACAATAAGGCCGGGCGTGAGGGCTCTGTAATCCCAGAACTTTGGGAGGCCTAGGCAGGCGAATCACCTGAGGTCAGGAGTTCGCAACCAGCAGGACCAACATGGAGAAACCCCATCTCTACTAAAGATACAAAATTAGCCGGGCATGGTGGCACATGCCTGTAATCCCAGCTACTCGGGAGGCTGAGGCAGGAGAATCACTTGAACCCGGGAGGCAGAGGTTATGGTGAGCCGAGATGGTGCCATTGCACTCCAGCCTAGGCAACAAGAGTGAAACTCCATCTCAAAAAAAAAAAAAACAAACAATGAGAAAACACAGGCTCACCAATCTCCAACTCACTTATATATTCATAATACCTATGGTAGTGTCTCTTACAGTGATGGCTTCATAGCACCCAAATAAAAGTTACCTGGGCCACTTAAAAATGTAGATTCCTAAACCCCACTCAGATCTACTGAATTATAATCTCTAGGGGTGGAGCGAGGAAAATCTCCTTGTTTAACAAGTACCACAGTGACTATTATGCACACCAAAATTTGTAAATACAACTGGAGCCTCTAAGTAATTGAAAAACACATTGGTATTCAACCCTGATTCTGCTTTAACATCATCTGAAGGTTTTTGGGTTTTTAAAAAAATATTGATGTCCAGTCTCTGCTCCTGGAGAATCTGATTTATTAGGCCTGGTATCAGTATTCTGTTTTGCTTTTGCTTTTCCCCCAAAGGTTCCCAGATGATTCTAATGTGCAGCCAACAGTGGAAAGGCCTAGAACCAGAGAAATTAGAGATGAGCTGAAGAGCCTCAAAGAGTCTTTCCCTTGGCATGAAAAAACTGACCTCAAAATGAATCCCTTAAAGGGATATCAGGGACAAATTCTCCAGGATTCCTGCTAAAATGCATCCAAAAAGGATTCATTTATCATATTACTGTATTTACCTCTTACCTGGAAAAAACAGAAAACAGCCCTTAGGGAAAGGCTGTAGGATAAATACGTTTGGATAGATTTGGGGGAGAGGCTGATTTACATATAGTAATTATGGCATTTTGGAACAGGAAGGAATTGCAGAGATTATTTTATCTACATGAAGGATGTCCAAACTACACGCCACCTGTTATTGTATGGCCCACAAGGTAAGAATGATTTTAGGCTGGGCACGGTGGCTCAGGCCTGTAATCCCAGCACTTTGGGAGGCTGAGGCAGGTGGATCACTTGAGGCCAGGAGTTCGAGACCAGCCTGGCTAACACAGTGAAACCTCATTCCTATTAAAAATACAAAAATGTGTCGGGTGTGGTGGCACGCGCCTGTAGTCCCAGCGACTCAGGAGGCTGAGGCACAAGAATCATTTGAATTTGGGAGACGGAGGTTGCAGTGAACCAAGACTGAACCAATCACTGCACTCCAGCCAGGGCCACAAAGCAGACTCTATTTCAAAAAGAAAAAAAAAGGTTTGTACATTATTTATTAATTTTAAGAGACAGGTCTCACCATGTTGCCCAGGCTGTAGTGCAGTGGCTATTCACAGGTGTGATCCCACTACTGAGCAACACTGGAATTTTCATCTGCTGTTTCCGACTTGGGCTGGTTCACCCCCGCTTAGGCAACCTGGTGGTTTCCCGCTCCTGGGAGGTCGCCATATTGATGCTGAACTTAGGGCAGACAACCATTTGGCATCATGTGCTGCAGCCCAGAACTCCTGGGCTCAAGCAATCCTCCTGCCTCAGCCTCCCGAGTAGCTGGGACTATAGGAACATGCCACTGTGCCCAGTGGTTTTTACATTTTTAAATGGTGGGGGCCAGGTGCGGTGGCTCACGCCTGTAATCCCAGCACTTTAGGAGGCTGGGGCGGGCAGATCATATGAGGCCAAGAGTTCAAGACTAGCCTGGAATATGGCAAAACCCCATCTCTACTAAAAATACAAAAATTAGCCAGGTGCGGTAGCACGTGGCTGTAATCCCGGCTACTCAGGAGGCTGAGTCAGGAGAATTGCTTGAACCCAGGAGGCAAAGGTTGCAGTGAACTGAGGCTGCGCTCTAGCCTGGGCAACACCTGGCCTGTGATGGAGCTTGTAAATTAGATTGTCAGGTTTGCATTTTATACTGAGGGCAATAGGCAGGCGTGTAAGGGTTTGTAGAGGAGAGAGAAAATAAGGAATAATGCCCAGGATAACATCTCAGCAATTGGATATGATAAAGAACTTACTGGGATGGGAAACAGGAGAAGAAACAGGGGAAGCTGGTGAAAATGGTGGCATAAGGAACACCTGGTCTGTCCCTCCACAAGGACCATGGATAAACTGACAGAAACTCACAGAATGATCATTCTCAGAACTCTGGCTACTCATCGGAACCTTGCCACAACTGAGGAAATGCTTAGTTAAAAAAAAACAACTGAATCTTCATAGAAGAGCTTTGTGACATTGTACCTTATGCTGAACCTTCCCCTGTTCCTCAGCACAAAAGAGACCTTGAAGATGCACCGTGTTCACAGTAAGAGTGCCCAGTACCAGAGGGAGCAGAACAGACATTATACTCAAAGAATTTCAGTTGTTTGTTTTGATCTCTCTGGTGGGATCACTTGAGCCTAGGAGTTCTAGACCAGCCTTGGCAACATAGACAGACTCCGTCTCAAAACAAAATAACACAAACAAAAAAAAAAGAGGCAAGGTGCGGTGGCTCACGCCTGTAATCCCAGCACTTTGGGAGGCCAGGCAGTGGAACACTTGAGGTCAGGAGTTCCAGATCAGCCTGGCCAACATGGTGAAACCCTGTCTCCCCTAAAAATACAAAAAATTAGGCAGGTGTGGTGGCATGTGCCTGAAGTCCCAGCTACTCCAGAGGCTGAGACAGGAGAATCACATGAACCTGGAAGGTGAAGGTCACAGTGAACTGAGATCCCATCAGTGCACTGCAGCCTGCGCACCGAGTAAGACTCTGTCTTAAAAAAAAAACACAAAAAAAACAAAAAAACAAACAAAAAAAAACACCAGCTGCAGTGGCTCATCACTTAATCCCAGCACTTTGGGAGGCTGAGGCTTGTGAATCATGAGGTCAGGAGTTTGAGAGCAGCCTGGCCAACATGCTGAAACCCCGTCTCTACAAAACATACAAAAATTAGCTGAGTATGGTGGCGTGCACCTGTAATCCCAGCTACTCTAGAGGCTGAGGCAGGAGAATCGCTTGAACCAGGGAGGCAGAGCTTGCAGTGAGCCGAGATTGCACCACTGCACTCCAGCCTGGGTGACAGAGCGAGACTCCATCTCAAAAAAAAAAAAAAAAAGAAAGAAATACAAAAATTAGCCAGGTGTGGTGGCACACACCTGTAGTCCAAGCTACTGGGGAGGCTAAGGCAGAAGAATCGCTTGAACCCAGGAGGCGGAGGTTGCAGTGAGCCAAAATTGCACCACTGCATTTCAGCCTGGGCAACAGAGCAAGATGCCATCTCAAATAAAAAACAAAGGGCCGGGCACGGTGGCTCATGCCTGTAATCCCAGCACTTTGGGAGGCCAAGGTAGGAGGATTTCTTGAATCCAGGAGTTCAAGACCAGACTGGGCAATATAGTAAAGACCCTGTCTCTTAAAATAAAAGAAAAAGAAAACAGGCCAGGTGTGGTGGCTTACACCTGTAATCCCAGCACTTTGAGAGGCCAAGGCAGGCAGATCATTTGAGGTTAGGAGTTCAAGACCAACCTGGCCAACAAGGTAAAACCCCGTTTCTACTAAAAATACAAAAAAAAAAAAAAAGCCAGGCACGGTGGCTGATACCTGTAATCCCAGCACTTTGGGAGGCCAAGGCGGGTGGTCACCTGAGGTCAGGAGTTCGAGACCAGCCTGGCCAACATGGTGAAATCCCATCTCTACTAAAAATACAAAAATTAGCTGGGCATGGTGGCACATGCCTGTAATCCCAGCTACTTGGGAGGCTGAGGCAGGAGAATCACTCGAACCTGGGAAGCAGAGGTTGCAGTGAGCCAAGATCGCACCAATGCACTCCAGCCTGGGCGACAGAGCAAGACTCCGTCTCAACAACAACAACAACAAATTAGCCAGGCGTGGTGGCACACGCCTATAATCCCAGCTACTAGGGAAGCTGAGGCAGGAGAATCACTTGAACCTCAGAGTAGGAAGTTGCAGTAAACCGAGATTGCACCACTGCATTCCAGCCTGGCCGACAGAGGGAGACTCCATCTCAAAAATGAAAATAAAAATAACAATCAGGCAGGGCGCAGTGGCTCACACCTGTATCCCCAACACTTTGGGAGGCTGAGGCGGGTGGATCATGAGGTCAAGAGATCCAGACCATCCTGGCCAACATGGTGAAGCCCCATCTCTACTAAAAATACAAAAATTAGCTGGGTGTAGTAGTGCACAGCTGTAGTCCCAGCCACTTGGGACACAGGGGCAGGAGAATCGCTTGAACCGGGGAGGTGGAGATTGCAGTGAGCCGAGATCGTGCCACTGCACTCCAGCCTGGCGACAGACGGAGACTCCATCTCAATAAATAAATAAATAAATAAATAAATAAAAATCAGCTGGCTGGGTGTGGTGGCTCACGCCTGTAAACCCAGCACTTTCAGAGCCCGAGGTGAGCAGATCACTTGAGGTCAAGAGTTCGAGACCAGCCTGGCCAACATGGTGAAACCTCATCTCTACTCAAAATATAAAAATTAGCCAGGTGTGGTGGCACATGCCTGTAGTCCCAACTACTAGGGAGGCTGAGGCAGGAGAATAGCTTGAACCTGGGAGGCAGAGGTTGCAGTTAGCCGAGATCTTACCCTGCACTTCAGCCTGGGCGACAGAGCAGGACTCCGTCTCAAAAAAAAAAAAAAAAAATCAGCCAGGCATGGTGGTCTGCGACTATAGTACCAGCTACTCAGGAGGCTGAGGCAGGAGAATCACTTGAACTTGGGAAGCGGAGGTTGCAGTTAACCGAGATCGAGCCACTGCACTCCAGCCTGGGTGACAGAGGGAGACTCTATCTCTAAACAAATAAATTAATAGAAAAAAAAAGAAAAGAATTCCATTTACAGTAGCGTCAAAATAATAGACACACAAAGATAGTGAAATCTGGGTCCAGAGGGGTCACCGCCTCCTCTTAGGAATAAGTTTTTTTTTTTTTTTTTTTTGAGACAGAGCTTGCTCTATTGACAGGCTGGAGTGCAATGGCATGATCTTGGCTCACTGCAACTTCTGCCTCCTGGGTTCAAGTGATTCTCCTGCCTTGGCCTCCTGAATAGCTGGGATTACAGACACGCACAACCACACCCGGCTAATTTTTTGAATTTTTATTAGAGACAGGGTTTCACCATGTTGGCCAAGCTGGTCTCGAACTCCTGACCTTGTGATCTGCTCACCTCGGCCTCCCAAAGTGCTGTGATTACAGGTGTGACCACCGCGCCTGGCCTAAGAATAAGTTTATACAAGGAAATGTAAGACTTATGCATTGAAAACTACAAAACATTACTGAAAAAAATAAAGAAGATCTACATAAATAGGAAGACATTTTGTCTTCATTGATTGAAAGACTTAATATTGCTATGATGGCAGTACT
The DNA here is from genome assembly GCF_000001405.40 of Homo sapiens. NCBI lineage: Eukaryota > Metazoa > Chordata > Mammalia > Primates > Hominidae > Homo > Homo sapiens. Next base: position 73,044,697 of record NC_000014.9, read on the forward strand.
TCTCAGATTGATCTTCACATTCAGTGAAATTCTTACCCACATTCTAACTGCTGGCCTGGAAAGGTGGCTCACACCTGTAATACCAGCACTTTGGAAGGCCCAGCCGGGTGGATCACCGGAGGCCAGGAGTTTGAGACCAGCTGGCTAACACAGTGAAACCCCCATCTCTATTAAAAATAGAAAAAATTTGCTGGGTATGGGGGCACACACCTGTAATCCCAGCTACTTGGGAGGCTGAGGCATGAAAATCGATTGAACCCAGGAGGCAGAGTTTGCGGTGAGCCAAGATCTTTCCACTGCACTCCAGCCTCGGCGACAGAGCAAGACTCTGTCTAAAAAAACAAACAACAACAACAAAAACCCAAGATCTTTCTCTGTTGCCCAGGCTGCAGTGCAGTGATATGATCACAGCTCACTGCAGCCTCGAATGCCTGGGCTTAAAGGATTCTCCACCTCAGCCTCCTGAGGGAAGGAGGCACTCAATTAACTGGGATCACAGTCACGTGCCATCATTCCCAGCTAATTTTATTTTTGTAAAGATGAGGTCTTGCCCTCTTGATGCAGTCTTGCCATCTTGCTAGACTGGTCTCAAACTCAGGGGCTCAAAAAATCCTCTGGAGTCGGCCTTCCAAAGTGCTGGGATGATGGGGTCAGTGATTTTTTTTTTTTTTTTTTTTTTTGAGATGGAGTGCCACTCTGTTGCCCAGGCTGGAGTGCAGCAGCGCCATCTCGGCTCACTGCAACTTCTGCCTCCTGGGTTCAAGCAATTTTCCTGCCCCAGCCTCCTAAGTAGCTAGGATTACAGATGTGTGCCACCATGGCCAGCTAAGTTTTATATTTTCAGTAGAAACAGGGTTTCACCATGTTGGCCAGACTGGTCTTAAACTCCTGACCTCAGGTGATCTGCCCACCTTGGCCTCCCAAAGTGCTGGGATTACAGGCGTGAGCCACTGCGCCTGGCCAATCAATTTTTTATAATGGTGCCACAGCCTTTCAGTGAGGAAAGAATAGTCTTTTCAACAAATGATATTGGGATAATTTGATATTTACATACACAGAATGAATTTGGACCCCTGTTTACAACATACACAAAAATTAATTCAAATGCACCTAATATCTCATGTAAGAGCTAAAAGTATAATACTGTTAGAAAACATATAAATCCTTGTGACTTTGGATTAGACAACAGTTTCTTAAATATGATACCAAAAGTACAAGCAATTAAAAAAATAGATAAATTGGGCTGGGCACAGTGGCTCATGCCTATAATCCCAGCACTTTGGGAGGCCGAGGTGGGCAGATCACCTGAGGTCAGGAGTTCAAGACCAGCCTGGCCAACATGGTGAAACCCCATCTGTACTAAAAATACAAAAATTAGCCGGGCATGGTGGCAGGTGCCTGTAATCTCAGCTACTTGGGAAGCTGAGGCAGGAGAATCACTTGAACCCGGGAGGCAGAGGTTGCAGTGAGCCAAGATCACGCCATTGCATTCCAGCCTGGGGACAAGAGTAAGACTTTGTCTCAAAAAAAAAAAAGATAAATTAGATTTTATCAACATCAAAAGCTCTGGAGCTAGGTATGGTGGCTTGTGCCTGTAATTCCATTACTTAGGAGGCTGAGGAGAGATCACTGGAACCCAGGAGTTCAAGAACAGCTTGGGTAATCTAGCAAGATTCCCCCCCACCACCATTTATTTTTTCTCTTTCTTTCTTTTTTTTTCTTTTTCTTTCTTTCTTTCTTTTCTTTCTCTCTTTCTTTTTCTTTTTTTTTTTGAGACGGAGTTTCACCCTTGTCACCCAGGCTGGAGTGCAGTGGTACAATCTCGGCTCACTGCAACCTCCGCCTCCCGGGTTCAAGCGATTCTCCTGCCTCAGCCTCCCAAGCAGCTGGGATTACAGGCATCTGCCACCACACCTGGCTAATTTTTGCATTTTTATTAGAGATGGGGTTTCACCATGTTGGCCAGGATGGTCTTGAACTCCTGACCTCGTGATCCATCCGCCTCAGCTTCCCAAAGTGCTGGGATTACAGGTGTGAGCCACCGCACCTGGCTGTTTGTTTGTTTGTTTGTTTGTTTGTTTTAAGATGAAGTCGGCCAGTGTGGTGGCCAGAGGTGGGGGAATCAGCTGAGGTCGGGAGTTCGAGACCAGCCTGACCAACATGGAAAAACCCTGTCTCTACTAAAAATACAAAATTAGCTGGGCGTGGTGGCTCATGCTTATAATCTCAGCTACCTGGGAGGCTGAGGCAGGAGAATTGCTTGAACCCGGGAGGCAGAGGTTGAGGTGAACCTAGATTGCGCCATTGCACTCCAGCCTGGACAATGATAGCAAAACTCCATTTCAAAAAAAAAGGAATGAGGTAGTGATAAATGCTACACCATGGATGAACCTTAACAGTATTATGCTAAGTAAAAGAAGCCAGATACAAAAGGCCACATATACTATGATACCCAGAATAGGCAAATTCATAGAGATGGAAAGTGGGTTTGTGGTTGCTCAGGACTGTGGGAGTAGATAATAAGGAATGACTGCTTCATATTTGTGGAGTTTCTATTTGGGGGAGAGAAAATGTCCTGAGTGGCAGTGCAAGACCCTATCTCAAATAAATAAATAAAAGTAAATATAACTGGGGGCCAAATGTGGTAGCTTACACTCGTAATCCCAGAACTTTGAGAGGCCAAGCGGGAAAGATCACTTGAGCACTGGAGTTTGAGACCAGCCTGGTCGACATAGTGAGGACTTGTCTCTACAAAAAAATGTTAAGGTCCTAACTACTTGGGAGGATCACTTGAGCCAGGGAGGTTGAGGCTGCAGTGAGCTGTGATTATGCCACTGCACTCCAGCCTAAGTGACAGATCAAGACCCTGTCTCAGAAAAAGAAAGAAAAAAAGAAATATAATTGGTATACCTCTTTGGCAGAGCTATTTGGTAATATATATTTAAATTTCAAAATTAGCATAGCCTTCTACCTTGAGTTTCCACTTGTAGGTATCAGCGGTAGAGAATTACACGCACAAATTTAGAAGAAAGCATATACAAAGATGGTAATTGCAGGATTGTTTACATGTCTACAAATTGGAAACAAATGTCCATAATTAAGGGAATGATTAAATTGTATAGTGGATGATAGTTGCCTTCTCAGTATCCATTTCCTTCTTCCTCTTTTCTAACAAAATTATAATTTTATGCAAATATCCACCTTTCCTCTGAGGCCCAAAGTCCCAGAGAAAGCTGACCTCACCAGTGGCTCAAAGGATAGGTATAATTGCCTAAGTGTACTTACATCTATCCTGCCAATGATTGTTTTGCCAAAGAGCATGAAACTCACTTTGGCGTATGACTCAATTCAGGTTCCTGGAGATCCTGGAAAGTTCTTTCTTGATCTTCTGGGAGAGCTTCTGAAATCAACTCAATCTTGTTTCTGAATTCAAAAGTTTGTGGACTCAACATAGCCATCTTCTGAGCATTAGGGAAGTCAGACTTAGAATGAGGCCCACACTGTAGATGGTAGAGCAGAGATAGGAAAACAGAGAGACAGGAAGAACCTCATTCTTGATGAAATTATTCAGTCTGTGGATGACCCAACCCTGAAGAGCAGCCTATCTAGTCTTTCTGCTGGACAAGCCAATACATTTCCTTATTGGTTTTGTTTGTTTTCTCTTTTTTATTTTTATTTTATTTTATTTTAATTTTTTTGAGACAGTCTCGCTCTGTCGCCCAGGCTGGAGTGCAGTGGCACGATCTCGGCTCACTGCAAGCTCTGCCTCCTGGGTTCACGCCATTCTCTTGCCTCAGCCTCCAAAGCAGCTGAGACTACAGGCGCCCGCCACCACGCCCGGCTAATTTTTTTGTATTTTTTAGTGGAGACAGGGTTTCACCATGTTAGCCAGGATGGTCTCGATCTCCTGACCTCATGATCCGCCCGCCTTGGCCTCCCAAAGTGCTGGGATTACAGGTGTGAGCCACCGCACCCTGTTTGTTTATTTTCTTGAGATGGAGTTTCACTCTTCTTGCCCAGGCTGGAGTGCAATGACGCGGTCTCCACTCACTGCAACCTCCGCCACCTGGGTTCAAGCCATTCTCCTGTCTCAGCCTCCCAAGTAGCTGGGATTACAGGTGCCCACCACCACGCCAGGCTAATTTTTTTTTTATTTTTAGTAGAGATGGGGTTTCCCCATGTTGGCCAGGCTGGTCTTGAACTCCTGACCTCAGGTGATCTGCCCACCTTGGCCTCCCAAAGTGCTGGGATTACAGATGTGACCCACCGTGCCCGGCCCATTCTTTATTGTTTAAGCTAGTTTGAGTTGGATTGTCTGGTACTTGCTTCTGAAAGCCTCCTAGATGATACACTATGACACAACCATATTAGGAATACAATGTAGGAGTTTTAAAAATAATATCAGTTTTTAAAATGAAGTAGAGTTCTATATACTGACAAAATTTTTAAAAAGCAGGCCAGGCATGGTGGCTCATGCCTGTAATCCCAGCACTTTGGGAGATTGGAGCAGGCAGATCACTTGAGGTCAGGGATTTGAGACCAGCCTGGCGAGCATAGTGAAAACCATATTTCTACTAAAAAAAAAAAAAAAAAAAAAAAAAAAGAATACAAAAATTAGCTGGGCATGGTGGCATGTGCCTGTAATCCCAGGAACTTGGGAGGCTGAGGTAGGAGAATAACTTGAACCTGGGAGGCAGAGGTTGCAGTGAGCTGAGTGGCTCACTGCACTCCAGCCTGGGGGATAGAGCAAGACTCCCTCTCAAAAAAAAAAAAAAAAAAAAAAAAGCAAAGGCTAGGTGCAGTGGCTCACACCAGTACGCCAGTAATCCTCAGTAATCCTAGGACTTTGAGAGGCTGAGGTGTGTGGATCGCTTGAGCCCAAGAGTTTGAGACCAGCCTGAACAACATAGGGAGACACTGTCTCTATAAAAACTAGAAAAAACTAGCTGGGTGTGGTGGCACGTGCCTGTAGTCCCAGCTGTTTTGGAAGCTGAGGAAGGAGGATCTCTGGAGTTCAGGAGGTCGAGGTTGCAGTAAGCTGTGATTACACCACTGCATTCCAGCCTGGATGACAAAGTGAGACCCTGTCTCAAAAAAAATAAAAATAAAAATAAAAATACTCCACCCCAACCCAGGGGCCATGGATGATGTACAGGCGACAGAGCTACACACTCCTTTCCTTTTGGAAGCAAGAAGAAAATACGTGAAAACGGAAATTAAAGATTCAAAATTAAAAAAAGAAAAAAAGAAAGGCCAGGCACAGTGGCTTATGTCTGTTATCCCAGCATTTTGGGAGGCTGAGATGGTGGGTGGATCACTTGGGGTCAGGAGTTTGAGACCAGCAACCAGCCTGGCCAACAAGGTGAAACCCTGTCTCTACCTAAAATACAAAAATTAGCCAGGCATGGTTACAGGAGCCCTGTAATCCCAGCTACTCAGAAGGCTGAGGCAGGAGAATTGCTTGAACCCAGGAGGTAGAGGTTGCAGTGAGCCAAGATTGTACCACTGCACTCCAGCCTGGGTGACAGAGCAAGACTCTGTCTCAAAAAAAAAAAAAAAAACAAAAAAACAAAAAAAAAAAAAAACAGAAAGAAAGCAAAGAAAAATTGTGTAATATTTGGTATATTAAAAAATTTAATGTAAATTATGAAGATAATAATAAAATCAGTCAATCCATCACTAAGCTTATGAACTAGAACATTACAGAAATCATACTGGCTACCCGTGTGTGCTTTTTCAGTCTCATTACATTTTCTCCCTCCAAGAGGGAAACACTATCTTAGATTTTGTTTTGTTTTGTTTTGTTTTGTTTTGTTTTGTTTTGTTTTTGAGACGGAGTCTGGCTCTCTTGCCCAAGTTGGAGTGCAGTGGCGCGATGTCGGCTCACTGCAACCTCCACCTCCTGGGTTCAAGCGATTCTCCTGCCTCAGCTTCTTGAGTAGCTGTGATTACAGGCGCCTGCCACCACGCCCAGCTATTTTTGTATTTTTAGTAGAGATGGGGTTTCACCATGTTAGTTAGGCTAGTTTCGAACTCCTGACCTCATGATCCACCTGCCTCGGCCTCCCAAAGTGCTGGGATTACAGGCATGAGCCACCGTGCCCAGACTATCTTGAATTTTCTATTAACTATTTCTTTGGTTTTTAAAAAATATATAGTCTTATCCCATGTATATGTTTTTCTACACAATAGATTATTACTTATGCCAAGTTTGGAGCTTTGTATTAATGGTGTTATATACAGATTTTTTTGCATTTCATTTCATGTCATGTCATGTCATGTCATTTCATTTCTTTTCATCTTGATGGAGTCTTGCCCTGTTGCCCAGGCTGGAGTGCAGGGGCGCGATCTCGGCTCACTGCAACCTCCACCTCTCAGGTTCAAGCGATTCTCCTGTCTCAGCCTCCCAAGCAGCTGGGATTACAGGCACATGCTACCATGCCCGGCTAATGTTTGTATTTTTTTTTTTTTTTTTGAGATGGAGTCTCGCTCTGTCGCCCAGGCTGGAGTGCAGTGGCGCAATCTCAGCTCACTGCAAGCTCCGCCTCCCGGGTTCACAGCATTCTCCTGCCTCAGCCTCCCGAGTAGCTGGGACTACAGGCGCCCGCCACCACGCCCGGCTAATTTTTTGTATTTTTTAGTAGAGACGGGGTTTTACCGTGTTAGCCAGGATGGTCTCGATCTCCTAACCTTGTGATCCGCCCGCCTCGGCCTCCCAAAGTGCTGGGATTACAGGCGTGAGCCACTGTGCCTGGTCTTTTTTGCCAATATTAAATACAGTTTTACTTAAGACATTGTATTTTCTACTTAAAGTGCAGTGCTTATAAGTGCAATGCTATTTCCTTCCCCTGTGCTCATGTTCCATATTCAAGATTTTTTTTTTTTTTTTTTTTTTTTGAGACAGAGTCTTGCTCTGTCACCCAGGCTAGAGTGCAGTGGCACGATCTCAGCTCACTGCCAGCTCCACCTCCCGGGTTCACGCCATTCTCCTGCCTCAGCCTCCCGAGTAGCTGGGACTACAGGCGCCCGCCACCACGTCTGGCTAATTTTTTTGTATTTTTAGTAGAGACAGGGTTTCACTGTGTTAGCCAGGATGGTCTTGATCTCCTGACCTCGTGATCCACCCGCCTTGGCCTCCCAAAGTGCTAGGATTACAGGCGTGACCCACCGCGCCCGGCCAACATTTTTTTTTGATGGTGACTTTCAATATATCAAAAGTTCTTAATATAGTTGGATTTGTCAATCTTTTCTGTTTAGGTTATGCTTATAGTATCTTCCTTAAGAAATCCTTCCTGTCGGGGCACAGTGGCTCATGGCTGTAATCCTAGCACTTTGAGAGGCCGAGGCGGGCAGATCACTTTTGAGGTCAGGAGTTCGAGACCAGCCTGGCCAACAAGGTGAAACCCCGTCTCTATTAAAAATACGAAAATTAGCTGGGCGTGGTTGTGGGCGCCTGTAATCCCAGCTACTCCGGAGGCTGAGGCAGGAGAATTCCTTGAACTTGGAAGGCGGAGGTTGCAGTGAGCCAAGATCACGCCACTGCACTCCGGCCTGGGTGACAAAGTAAAACTCTGTCTCAAAAAAAAGAAAAAAAAAAGAAAAAAGAAAAAAGAAATCTTTCCCTATCATGAATTCATAAGATGTTCTCAAAGTTTTAAGGTTTTATCATTGATAATTAATATGTTCATTTCAACAATTGCTAAAAAAGAATTCCATAAAATTCAACATCTATTGATGACTAATTTATTTATTTATTTACTTATTTCTTCTACAGAGTGGGACAGGGTCTCACTCTGTCACCCAGGGTGAAGTACAATGGTGTGATCATGGTTCATGCAGCCTTGACCTGTGCCCCACCATGCCTGGCTAATTACAAAAAAAATTTTTTTAGAAACAGAGTCTCCCTATGTTGCCCAGACTGGTCTCAAACTCCAAGACTCAAGTGATCCTCCTGTCTTGGCCTCGCAATGCACTGGGATTATAGGCGTTAGCCACTGTCCTCAGCCTAAGAAAAATCCCTTTAAAGATTTCCTATGTAGTCTTTTTATATTCCATATCTAATATTTCAATATCTGAATTGGGAATTTAAGTCTGTTGGTTTTGTGTGTGCACATGTGTGTATGTGTGTGTGATGCTGCATTTATGGTGGCTCATTCCTAATATTCTTGGCACTTTAATTTTTTTTTAGACAGTCTCACTCTGTTGCCCAGGCTGGAGTGCAGTGGAGCGATTTCAGCTCACTGCAACCTCCACCTCCCAAGTTCACCTGATTCTCCTGCCTCAGCCTCCTGAGTAGCTGGGACCACAGGCATGTGCCACCACGCACGGCTAATTTTTGTACTTTAGTGGAGATGGGGTTTCACCATGTGGGCCAGGCTGGTCTTGAACTCCTGAGCTCAAAGCAATCCACCTCCTCGGCCTCCCAAAGTGCTGGGATTAGAGGTGTGAGCCGCCATGCCTGGCCCTTGGCCTTTTTTTTTTTTTTTTTAAGACAGAGTTTCACTCTTGTTACCCAGGCTGGAGTGCAATGCTGTGATCTTGGCTCACCACACCCTCCACCTTCCAGGTTCAAGCGATTCTCCTGCCTCAACCTCCTGAGTAGCTGGGATTATAGGCATGCACCACCATGCTTGGCTAATTTTTTGTATTTTTAGTAGAGACGGGATTTCTCCATGTTGGTCAGGCTGGACTCAAACTCCTGACCTCTGGTGATCCGCTTGCCTCAGCCTCCCAAAGTGCTGGAATTACAGGTGTGAGCCACATTGCCCGGTCAATTTTTTTTTTTGACTAAGTCTCGCTGTGTCACCCAGGGTGGAGTGCAGTGGTGCCATCTTGGCTCACTGCAACCTCCGCCTCCTGGGTTCAGGCAATTCTCCTGCCTCAGCCTCCCAAATAGCTGGGACTACAGGTGAGTGCCACCACACCTGGCTAAGTTTTGTATTTTTAGTAGAGACAGGGTTTCTCCATGTTGGTCAGGCTGGTTTCAAACTCCTGATCTCAGGTGATCCACCCGCCTCAGCCTCCCAGAGCGCTGGGATTACAGGCGTGAGCCATCATGCCTGGCCTGCATTTTTAAATTTTAAGCTCACATTTGATATCAGAATCCTGAAGCCTAAATTAGGGATTCTTTTCTCCATGGGAACTATGTTTGCTTCTGTCAAGAGCCTAGGACTATTACTAACAAGGGAGCACTTTAACATCCTTTCAGAGTCCTGACTTAACTTGGTAAACTTCAGTTACTCCACCTTGCTGGGTAGTCCAGCCTTGATCTCTAGATTCTGTGTTAATGTGCTTCCTCTCTCTATCTTCTTCTCTCTATATACACATATATATTATATATATTCACATATATTATATATATAATGGCATTATATGTATTATATTTATATATTTTATGCCATTATATACTATATAATGGCATTGTATATATATATATATTTATGTATGTATATGTATTTATGTGTGTGTATATATATATATATATATATATATATATATATATAATGATGGCCATGCATACACACGCAAACACACACACACACACAAGCAATCCTCTCTCCTCATGATTGAGACTACAGGTGTGTGCTACTGTGCTGGGCTCCAGTTTCAATTTTTGAGAAGATCTGCTCAGTTCCAGCTAAACAACATTTTTCCTGGTATGCTGCTGTTTAGTTGGGTCAGATGTGGCCAATGAGAATAGGGTCCAGGCCAGGTGTGGTGGCTCATGCCTGTAATCCCAGCATTTTGGGAGGCTGTGGCAGGTGGATCACCTGAGGTCGGGAGTTGGAGACCGGCCTGGCTAACATGGAGAAACCCCACCTCTACTAAAAATACAAAATTAGCTCGGCATGGTGGCATGTGCCTGTAATCCCAGCTACTTGGGAAGCTATGCCAGGAGAATCGCTTGAACCTGGGAGGCGGAAGTTGCGGTGAGCCGAGATCATGCCATTGCATTCCAGCCTGGGCAATGAGAACAAAACTCCATCTCAAAAAAAAAAAAAAGAAAAAAAAAAGAATGGTGTCCAAATGCACACAGAATGTAATATCCAAATTAATTATCTACAGTTTCCTTAGCAAGGATTTGTAAGAAAAAAATAGAAGGAGGATAACTGGCATCGCAAATGAATGGCTTGGCTTGTTCTCTACAAGTGGTATATAAGTGTATCATTTAGAGTTCTTTCTGTGTAAGGAATAGAAAACTCAACTCAAACTGATTTCGGAAAAGTAATGTATTGGGTTACATACTGATAAGCCTAGAACAGCTGGCTTTAGGAGTAGCTGAGCCAGCCGGGCTCAGTGTAATCCTGGCTTTTGGGAGGCTGAGGTGGGAGAATCGCTGGAGCCTGGAAAGTTGAGGCTGCAGTGAGCCGTGATCATGCCACTGCACTCTAGCCGGGACAACAAAGGGAGACCCTATCTCAAATAACAACAGCAATAACAAACCAAAAAACAAACAAAATGAATGAATGAACCATTTTCTCAACTGATATTGTCAAAAATCTCTCACCCTGTCTTACTTCTGCTTTCTTCTGTGATTTCATTCTCATCCCCATCTATTCTAAGCTTAAATCCTCCTAAGCTTAAATTGAAAAAAAAAAATCAATTTAAATGAAAAATATAGAGACCCCTCCCCTTCTTTTTAGGATTATTCCTGAAAGGATGAAGCAGTATAATGTTCCAGAGCACGAACTCAGGAACCAGACTGGCTCACTTACTATTTTTGTAGCCTTTGATAGGTTAATTTTTGCAAGCCTTGGTTTCTTCATTTGTATCACAATAGTTCTTACTTCAGGGGGTTGTTATGAGGATTAAAGGAGTTGATATTTGCAAAATGCTTTAAACAGTGGCTAGTACCAAAAAAAAAAAAAAAAAAAAAAGGGAGGGGTGACTAAATCATCAGGTTTTGATTAGGTTGTAAGTTTACTCCTGTGTCCTAAGGGGGTCTGGTTAGAGTTGGGACTTCCTATCCAAAGTACATGGATCTGGAGTAGTGGAAGGATGGTTTCTTTTCTTTTTTTTTTTTTTAGACCGAGTTTTGCTCTTGTTGTCCAGGCTGGAGTGCAATGGCGCGATCTCGGCTCACTGCAACCTCTGCCTGCTGGGTTCAAGCGATTTTCCTGCCTCAGCCTCCTGAGCTGCTGGGATTACAGGTGCCTGCCACCACGCCCAGCTAATTTTTGTTATTTTTAGTAGAGACAGGGTTTCGCCATGTTGGCCAGGCTGGTCTCGAACTCCTGACCTCAGGTGATCCACCCGCCTCGGCCTCCTGAAGTGCTGGGATTACAGGTGTGAGCCACTGCACCTGGCTTTTTTTAGACAGAGTCTTGCTCTGTTGCCCAGGCTGGAGTGCAGTGGCGCAATCTCGCCTCACTGCAACCTCTGCCTCCCAGGTTCAAGCGATTCTCCTGCCTTGGCCTCCCAAGTAACTGGGACTACAGGCACACATCACCAAGCCCAGCTAATTTTTGTATTTTTAGTAGAGGCGGGGTTTCACCATGTTGGTCAGGCTGGTCTTGATCTCTTGACCTCGTGATCTGCCTGCCTCGGCCTCCCAAAGTGCTGGGATTACAGGCGTGAGCCACCGCACCCGGCCAAGATGGTTTCTTTTAAAAAATGTGGAGGGTTCATTACTAAAGGCAAGGGGAATGGATGCTGCATGAACATCAGCAACAAATTGTCTAAGGTAGGAAAGTTAGCAAATTGTTGCCTGAGGGCTCCCTTTATTACACAGTAAACACAAATTCATGTACAATGTTTCTAATAATAAAAAGGGACACAGATTAATCTGAGATTTCTGTTTATGCCTTTTGTTGTAAATAGGCACAAACTCTTGGGCGGCCATGGTGGCTCACAGCTTTGATCCCAGCACTTTGGGAGGTCCAGGTGGGCGGATTACCTGAGGTCAGGAGTTGGAGATCAACCTGGCCAACATGGTGAAACCCCATCTCTACTAAAAATACAAAAGTTAGCCAGGTATGGTGACCCACGCCTATAATCCCAGCTACTGGGGAGGCTGAGGCACAAGAATCGCTTGAACTGGGAGGCAGAGATTGCAGTGAGCCAAGATCACGTCACTGCACTCTAGCCTGGGAAACAGAGACACCTCCTCAAAAAACAAAAACAAAACAAAACAAAAAAAGAAACTCATTTTATTTACAAACAATAAATAGCATTATAGAGTAGCACTATAAAAACTATAAATTTGAATAGCACTTTACTGAACAAAGTACAAACATACATAAGTTAATTTCGTCTCCCAAGTAACTGGGACTACAAGCACTCGTCATCACGCACGGCCAAAGGTATTATTAACTTTAGTTAATGGTAAGGAAACCTAGCAAGCAGAAGTATAGAAGGATGTAAATTTTGCAGATGGTAGTAATTAGTGCTACTTTCTCATTTGTGCTCCCACTAAATTTTGTGTTCTATTGGTACTCATCATATGTTAATCATTTCTTTTCTTTTCTTTTCTTTTTTTTTGAGACAATGTCTCACTTTGTTGCCCAGGCTGGAGTGCAGTGGTGCCATCTCGGCTCACTGCAACCTCCGCCTCCAGGGTTCAAGCGATTCTCCTGCCTCAGCCTCCCGAGTAGCTGGGATTACAGGCGCCTGCCACCACGCCTAGTTTATTTTTGTATTTTCAGTAGAGACGGGGTTTTGCCATGTTGGCCAGGGTGGCCTCGAACTCCTAACCTCAGGTGATCCACCCGCCTCGGCCTCCCAAAGTGCTGGGGTTACAGGCGTGAGCCACCGCGCCCGGCCGGTAATCATTTCTGTCACTCAACAAATATTTATTGAGCGCTTGCTATGTACCAGGACCTGTTCTTGCACAAAACAGGCAATCCATGCATTGCTTACATTCACATTCTAGTGGGGGTAGTGACGGACCATAAAATCAGCAAGAAAAATGTATGTTATGATAGATGGTTATGAGTGCTTTAGAGTAAAATTAAGTAGGGGAGGCAGGCAGGAAGTGTGTAGTATGTTTCAATTTTATATTAGGCTGGTCATGGTTTGTCATCTATTTCACCTGGCTCACAGTTCTTGCAGGACAGGAACAAATCTCACTTCCATTTGCCTTCATACTTCCAGCACTTAACACAGCACCAGGAACTCAGGGAGGCAATAACTTTATACTGAATCCGTTTTATGCCTTCCTAGAGGCAAGCAGTTGAGAAAGGCGTGTAACTAGATATTGCCTATAAGGTCCACAATTGGAATAACGTAATCATTTATGATTAATTTTATTCATTTCCATTAACTTAAGCTAAGTTCTTTTAGCACGTTTAGATTACAGAACGAAAGCTGTGTTAACTAGTATTACAGGACTTTTCACGTTTTTCCAAACATCTTCTAGCCACCTCTTTGGCCCTACAACTACGCATAAGCTTTTGCTTTTCAAAAAACCTCCACAGCCTTTGCCAATTATTTGTTGATCTCGAGTAGTTGTTATAACAGCACTTGGGGTTTAACACTAAGGTTGCAGATCGCGCCCAGTTATCAGTTCCTCGAACCTCAAGGAATCACAAAGCAAGGTTCCACCCCCCGAAAAACTACGAAAAGTGAGAAAGCCTCTAACACTCCTCGCGCCGTGCCCAGCCGGAACCTTGACCTCAAGATGGCGTCCCGTAGTCGTAAGATTCAGTCGGCTCCAATCAAACATGGTGGGTCATAATTTACAGTTCGGGCCTTTCTAGTAACCGCTAGACGCTGCTTCTCTATGGTTATTCGTCTCGGCTTGGTGAGTCAGAGCCAACAGCGGAGACGATCTATATACGTTCTTCTCTATGGTTCCGCGCTCCCCGCCCCCGGCCGCAGTGCACGCCGGGCAAGAGGAAGACCTCCATCAGCTCGCCGCGCAGCGCGGCTGTATTTGCGGCCTGTGCGAGTAGGCGCTTGGGCACTCAGTCTCCCTGGCGAGCGACGGGCAGAAATCTCGAACCAGTGGAGCGCACTCGTAACCTGGATCCCAGAAGGTCGCGAAGGCAGTACCGTTTCCTCAGCGGCGGGTGAGTTTGTGTCTCTGAACGCGTGTGGAAACCGGGAGACCGGGTGCCTCAGCTGGTGGAGGAGGAAAAGCCGGGGTGGCTGCGAAAGCGCCAGGGTGGGGTAGAGGTAAGGGGGAGCGCGGAGGCGGGGGTGGGGGAGGGGTCGGCACGAGGCTTGGTTTCTTCTCTTCTCTAAGGCCTGGAAAAGCTGTGGGCCCAGCCGTAGCTGGTGGAGGCCAGACCTACGGCTTGAGCTTTCCGTCTTGCATTGTCGCCCACTTTCCCTTTCCCTTCCACGTTCCGCCGCGGAGTGAATCGTCTCTGCCCCCCCTGGGCTCCACGTTAGATACAAAACGATCGATCTGCCCCAGGGGAGCCCTTCCCTGAGCCCCCTTACTTACCGGAGCCCCACAGTAGGTTTTCGGGCCTGGGACACTCTCGCCCCAGCCGTTGCCTTGAAGTTAGCCTCTACCCACCCTTTTTAGCGAGGTGCTGGCCACCAACGGATATCTTTCCCTTCCTCTTTGGCCATCTAGAGCCCGCCACCAAGTGAACTGGGCCCCACCCCCTTGGAATTGAGCTAATACCTACCTTTTTAGCAGTCTCCTGGCTTGCTTAAGATAGTCATGAATTTTGCCATCCTGCCTCTTTTGCGCATTGGAGGGTGCAGTAAACTGTATATCGCCATTCATTCTAGGCGATTACTAAGCTCCACATTAAAATGTTACTTTCTCATTTTTCTTTGGTCGTCAATCCTGCTTTTAAATACGGTTTTCCGGAATAGACGTAGGACTATGAAGATTTTTCGGAGGTTATGTAATATGGATTTGTATTGCCATGGAAATGCCATTTTGATACTGGGCAGAGTGGAGCCAAGAGAAGGGAAGAGATTGGACCTCTGTTGCACCCTACTGCTGTATTAGTGTGAAGTACTCTGTGTATTAGGCCGTGGGCAGTAATGTATAAATAATTTTTGTATAGTCTTTGGAGCTTTTAATTTTTTTAAAGGCTATTTCCAAAAACATTCAGAGGACTTGAAAGGGATTAAGTTGGTCATAAGTTACTCATGATTCAAGTGAATCTTATAGTATTCTAATTCATTTAACTTAAAGCCTTGGTTTTTCTTTTTCTTTTTTCTTTTAAGCTTTGGTTTTTGTTCCTCTGTAAAATGAATTTATAGTAGTATCTATACGTTATTGGGGTTGGGGATTGAGAAAAACGTATGTAAAATCCTTCGTGCAGTATCCAGGTAACACACATAAGCATTTAAATCTATATTGACATAATTTGTTATTTAAGGATTTTCAATGAAATGTAAGAGTCCAACCCTGACTCTGTAATTTTTTTTTTTGTTTTGTGTTGTTGTTTTTTTTAAGACGGAGTCTTGCTGTGTTGCCCAGGCTGGAGTGCGGTGGCGCGATCTTGGCCACTGCAACCTCCGCCTCCCAGGTTCAAGCGATTCGCCTGCCTCAGCCTCCTGAGTAGCTGGGACTACAGGCGCGCGCCACCACGCCCGGCTAATTTTTGTAGTTTTAATAGAGGCGAGGTTTCACTATGTTGGCCAGAATGGTCTCGATTTCCTGACCTCGTGATCCGCCCGCCTAGGCCCCAAAGCGCTGGGATTACAGGCGTGAGCCACCGTGCCCGGCCTTCTGAATGTATTTTTAAAGTAAAACTAGTCCATGTTAACATTGGGTAACTACTTCAGACCTAACAGGAATTTGGAATTTTCAAGTTATGTTTTTGTCCACAGACAAATTAGCAGTTTACTTTTCTTATTTACACATGATTTAGTGAAAATTTACATTATTTTATAGCTTTGGAAGCAAAGGAATCATTTATCAATCTTAACATCTTGCTAAAACAGTCTGTATTTTAGAGATCTCTTGATTGACTTTTCAAACACTATCACTGCCATTCACAAAAGGGGATTTTTGATTCTTCTTAAATAGCTTTTCTACCTTTTTTTGAAAATTGAAAGTTGCTGAAACTAGAAGAACAAAATTCCACTACCCAGAATTATTGGTATTGGCTTTTAACTTTTTATTTAGACATAATTTCAGATTTACAAAAAAAGTTGCAAGAATAGTACAAAAGAAATCTCAGCTATCTTTCACCAGATTCCTCAAATGTTAACATTTTGCCAATTTGCTTTATCCTTCTCTTCATAGGTTTCTTCTGAAATGTTTTGCTAGTAAGTTGCAGATGTGATGCCCCTTAACCCATAAATACTTAAGTGTATTTTCTAAAAATTAGGACTAGTCTTACCTAACAACAGTACGACAATCAAAATCAGGAAACTAACACTGATAAAATACCTAATCTACAGTTCTTAAATAGATTTTGCCGATTTTTCTGAGTTGGTGTACTTTTTTTTTTTTTTCCTTTTTGGAGATGGAGTCTCGCTCTGTCACCCAGGCTGGAGTGTAGTGGCGCGATCTCACCTCACTGTAACCTCCGCCTCCCGGGTTCAAGCAATTCTCTTGCCTCATCCTCCATAGAAGCTGGAATTATAGGTGCCTGCCACCATGCCTGGCTAATTTTTGTATTTTTAGTAGAGACGGGGTTTGACCATGTTGTCCAGGCTGGTCTTGGAACTTCTGACCTCAGGTGATCCACCCGCCTTGGCCTCCCAAAGTGTTGGGATTGCGTGAGCCACCGCACTTGGCCAATATGCCTTTTTTAAAATGGCAGCTATATGAACTATATTGACATAGAAAATTCACCTGTAAGTGCACAATTCAATGATTTTTGGTAAATATACAAAGTTATGCATCCATTACCCCAAAAGGATTCCTTCTGTCTGTTTGCAAGTCACCCTGTTCCACCCCAGTTTCAGGCAAGCCCTCATTTTTCTGTATAGATAGTAGTAGATAGCGCTGCTTTTTTGTTTTATTTGGTTTTTGAGATGGGGTCTCTTTCACCCAGGTGGAGGGCAGTGCTGCGATCTTGGCTCACTGCAACTTCCGCATTTCAGGCTTAAGCAATCCTCCCACCCCAGCCTCCCAAGTAGCTGGGACCACAGGTGCACGCCACCATGCCTGGCTATTTTTTTGTATTTTTGGTAGAGATGGGGTTTCACCATGTTGCCCAGGCGGGTCTGGAACTCAGGCTCAAAGGATCCACCTGCCTCGTCCTCCCAAAGTGCTGGGATTACAGGTATGAGCCACTGTGCCCAGCCTTGTTTTTGTTTTTAAAAAGATGAATTCTTCCTGTGTTGCTCAGGCTGGAGTGCAGTGGCTATTCACAGGCGTAATCCCACTATTGATCAGTTTGGGAGTTTTGCCCTTCTCTGTTGGCAACCTGGTGGTTCTCTCTCATCCCAGGAGGTCACCATATTAATGCTGAATGGACTTAGCATGAACACCTGATCAGTAGCGTGCTGCAGCCCAGAACTCCAGGGCTCAAGTGATCCTCCTGCGTAGCTGTGACTATAGGCAGGCACAGGAGTGTTGCTCTTTAATCATTGAAAATGGTAAAACAACAAAAGTGGCAATGTCAGAAAAAGATCAACTCTTTTTTGGAGATTTCCAAACAATTGAGTATTTTCATACTTCTGAAAAGCTTTGCTGTAAAAGTAGTTTTTCTGTTAAGCATTTCCCATTCTTCTTTGGGCATAAAACACTTTTTTTTTTCTAGGAATAATTCCTGCAGACCTGACACATAATTGGAAGTAGATATTGAATGAATGAGTGAGTTGTATGTGAATATTTGCTCAGAGGAATCTCAGTTCATTATCATTTCAGAAATTTGGCACGTAGTGTACTGATGGAGCTAGTCTAAAATAATCTATCCTGGGAGAAATAATTTTGTTTCTATCTGGATAAGTCTACAATAGAGGAATGCTTATTAGCAGTGTTTTGCTGTATTTTGCATACTTGCAGTATTCTTAAGAGTGCAGAAAAAAATAGTTTGAAAGATTCAAAGAGAAAAAAGTGAAAAAAGAAAAGCTGAGTGCATGCATATGTTGAGTACTAGAGATATGTCTTCAGGGTTTCTTTTTGGACCAGATTTCTTGAGATAAAATTTGCATACAATAAAATGCATCTGTTTTAATTTCAATGAGTTTAGACAAATGCATATACTTGTGTGACCACCGCTACACTAGAGGTAGGGAACCCTTCTATCATAGGTTTCTGTTATTTTATTTAATTTTTGGGGGGCCTCACTCTGTCGCCCAGGCTTGAGTGCAGTGGTGTGAGCTCGGCTCATTGCAACCTCCACCTCCCGGGCTCAAGCGATTCTCCCATCTCAGCCTCCTGAGTATCTGGGACCACAGGTGCATGCTACCACACCTGGCTAATTTTTTGTATTTTTGGTAGAGATGGGGTTTCACCATGTCGCCCAGGCTGGTCTTGAACTCCTGAGCTCAAGTGATCTGCATGCCTTGGCCTCCCAAAACGCCGGGATTACAGGTATGAGCCACTGCACCTGGCCCAGGTTCCTGTTTTTATTATCGTGGGCTATAGAGTTTCTTTTTTTTGAGATGGAGTCTGGCTCTGTCGCCCAGGCTGGAGTGCAGTGGCACAATCTCTGCTCACTGCAAGCTCCGCCTCCCGGGTTCACGCCATTCTCCTGCCTCAGCCTCCCGAGTAGCTGGGACTACAGGCGCCTGCCACTATGCCCGGCTAAATTTTTGTATTTTTAGTAGAGACGAGATTTCACTGTGTTAGCCAGGATGGTCTCGATCTCCTGACTTCGTGATCCACCCACCTCGGCCTCCCAAAGTGCTGGGATTACAGGCTTGAGCCACCGCGCCCGGCCCGGAGTTTCATACTTAGCAGGAAAAGGTGCTTTGAACCTTCTAAAATGTGAGGTACTTTCAATATTTTAAAAAATGCTATGGAAATGATTTCAGTGCCATAAGATAACTCTGCATTTCTCTCTTTTAAATCCCACATATTATACAATCCCTCAGCAAATCCTATTGGCTGCCTTCAAAATATATCCAGGATCCAACAACTTGATAGCACTTTCACCACTACCACCTGTTCCAGGCCACCATCTCTCCAGGCTACCATCTCTTATATGGATTATTGTACCAGTCTCTTGCTTGTATCCTGTTCCCTTCCAGGCTTAACACAGTGGCCAGTGATACTGTTAAAATGTGACAAGTCAGAAACTCTTCAAATGATTTTCACCTCATTCAGAGTTAAAACTAAAATGTTTATTTACATTGTGTTACATAGCCCTACACTCTACTCATAATACTCAGTATTTATTTCTGATTTTCTTCATTTATTCTGCTCCAGTCATACTGTTGGCCTTGCTATTCCTCCCTCAAATACACCATTCCTGCTTCAGCCTCTTTGTATTTGTCTTTTCCTTTGCTTGGAAGTCTCTTTCCCCCAGATATGAATAGGGCTTCCTGCCTCTGCCTCTTTTAAATCTTTGTTCTAATCTTCACCTTCTTGGTGAGGCCTAATCGCTGTATTTAAAATAAACTACTCCATAGCTCTCTTCCCTAATTTATTTTTCTACAAAGTACATACCATCTTTCAATGTATTATAATTTATTTTGTTTATCATCTATAGGTAACAGATAAGCTTTGCTTATGATTATGAAAGTTAATTCTCAATCAGTTTCACATGGCAAAACACATAAACCTGTGTTGAAATAAGTAGTTGGTAATCTTTTAGGCTGCTTAAAGTGGACATTAGTATTTATCAAAGATGAGAAATGTTTTCTGATTTTCCATGAGAGACCAATCTTTTTTATTTTTGTTTTGAAATGGAGTCTCGCTCTGTCACCCAGGTTGGAGTGCAGTGGCGCGGTCCCAGCTCACTGCAACCTCTGCCTCCCAGGTTTAAGCAATTCTCCTGCCTCAGTCTCCCGAGTAGCTGGGACTACGGGCGCCTACCACCATTCCTGGCTAATTTTTGTATTTTTAATAGAGACGGGCTTTCACCATGTTGGCCAGTCTGGCCTCGAACTCCTGACCTTGTGATCCGCCCGCCTCAGCCTCCCAAAGTGCTGGGATTACAGATGTGAGCCACCGCGCCCAGGAGAGGCCAGTTATCTTAAAGGAATATCCATAAAAATTAGCTGTTAACTGGTATTTTTGCCTTCACCTTTGAAGTCCAGCCTATCAACAAGCAAGTTTTGGCAGCTCCAAATAAAGGGGAATATGTTATGGAAAAATTTGAAGTGAATGGAATGGGTATATTGGCATAAACGAAAATTAAATATATCTGGTTAACTCTGCAGAATGAATTACACATTTAAAAACCATAAAATATAACTTAAATACCAAGAATATAGAGTTTTACTTTTTTTTTTTTTTTAGACGGAGTCTTACTCTGTCGTTCAGGTTGGAGTGCAGTGGCGCGACCTCGGCTCACTGCAACATCTGCCTCCCAGGTTCAAGCAATTCTCCTGCCTCACCTTCCAGAGTAGCTGGGATTACAGGTGCGCACCACCACACCTGGCTAATTTTGTTTGTTTGTTTGTTTGTTTTCTTTTGAGACAGAGTCTCACTGTGTCACCCAGGCTAGAGTGCAGTGGCGCGATCTCGGCTCACTGCAACCTCGGCCTCCCGAGTTCAAGTGATCTCCTGCCTTTGCCTCTTGAGTAGCTGGGATTACAGGCACCCGCCACCACACCCAGCTAGTTTTTGTATTTTAGTAGAGACGGGGTTTCACCATGTTGGCCGGGCTGGTCTCCAACTCCTGACCTCAAGTGATCGGTCTGCCTCGGCCTCCCAAAGTGCTGGGATTACAGGGGTGAGCCACTGTGCCCAGCTAATTTTTTTTTTTTTTGAAACTGAGTCTTGCTCTGTCGCCAAGGTGGAGTGCAGTGGCGCAGTCTTGGCTCACTGCAACCCCTGCCACCCAGGTTCAAGCAATTCCCCTGCCTCAGCCTCCTGAGTAGCTGGGACTACAGGCGCACACTACCATGCCTGGATAACTTTTTGTATTAGATACGGGGTTTCGCCGTGTTGGCCAGGATGGTCTTGATCTCCTGACCTTGTGATCTGCCTGCCTTGGCCTCCCAAAGTGCTGGGATTACAGGCATGAGCCACCTCACCCAGCCCAGTGTTTATATTTTTAGTGGAGACAGGGGTTTCACCATTTTGGCCAGGCTGGTCTCGAACTCCTGACCTCCAGTGATCTGCCCGCCTTGGCCTCCCAAAGTGCTGGGATTACAGGTGTGAGCCACCGCCCCTGACCGAGAGTTTTAGTTTTTAAGCATTATTTATATCTAATATTATTGGGGGAAAAGTGGTTTTAAAAATGAGTTCATGGCCCAGTCTTGTAACCATTGTGAGGCTAGGCACTGGGCCATTGCTAGAATATAGTATGCGGCATGAGATAGCATAATAAATTTGTTTATTGAAGTCCTCAGA
Source organism: Homo sapiens (assembly GCF_000001405.40). Taxonomy (NCBI): domain Eukaryota; kingdom Metazoa; phylum Chordata; class Mammalia; order Primates; family Hominidae; genus Homo; species Homo sapiens. The sequence continues at coordinate 73,066,031 of NC_000014.9, forward strand.
GTTTGTTTACTGATTTATTCATTAATCAGTTTATTCAACAGGTATGAAAACCAACTATCCTAAGAAAGCACTGAGATAGGCTATTATAATGATAATAGAAGAGCTTCTGTAAGTAGGACAGTAGCCCTTTCTGTTTTAAAAAGAGATACCACCCCCAGTTTTTGGTTTTGGTCAAAAAGTTTTACAGAAAGTTTATTTTAAAACTCAACACATTTACAGTCTTGCAATCTTGTGTTTTTCATTGTTAATATGTACTGATAACCTACCTACTGTTTAAAACATTTCTAATACCTCATTTGCCAAGTATATTAAATCCTCCTAAGGGCTGGGCGCAGTGGCTTATACCTGTAATCCCAGCACTTTGGGAGGCCGAGGCCGACGGATCACTTGAGGCCAGGAGTTTGAGACCAGCCTGGCCATACATGGTGAAACCCCGTCTCTACTAAAAATACAAAAATTAGCTGAGCTTGGTCGTGCGTGCCTTGTGGTGTGCACCTGTAATCCTAGCTACTTGGGAGGCTGAGGCAGGAGAATCGCTTGAACCCGACAGGCGGAGGTTTCAGTGAGCTGAGATGGTGCCTCTGCACTCCTGGGTGACAGAGCAAGACTCCATCTCAAAAAAAAAAAAAAAAAAATGCATCCTAGGGATTCCTTTACCTATAAAGTTTTCTAAATATTTTAAGTATACTGTGTTTTCTGAAATTGAAGTTTAGTTTTATTGAATATGGTATTATCCCAATTTAAGTCAAAGGAATTCTGAGGAAGTAGAGCTGTGAGCATGTAGGTCATGCTTTTCTGTTTTAAAGAAATGTCTAGTAAACAGGTAAACGCATACTCAACCTCATTAGTCATGAGGGAAATGTAAATTGAAATAAGAGTATATTTTACTTATGAAATTGTGAGAATTTTGACACTGATCTATTCTACCAATGATGAGGATATGAGGAAAGGGCATACCCATATTCTGGTGGTGGGAATATACATTTATATGCTAGTTTTCAGGGATGATTTTGGAGGTAAAGTTTGGATACATATAATTTTTTTTTTTTTTTTTTTTGATGTGGATTCTTGCTCTGTCGCCCAGGCTGACGTGCAATGGCACCGTCTCGGCTCACTGCAACCTCCGCCTCCCAGGTTCAAGCGATTCTCCTGCCTCAGCCTCCTGAGTAGCTGGGACTACAGGCACCTGCCATCACACCCAGCTAATCAGATACATATAGTTCTAACCTGTATTAGAGAATTACCTGTACAGATGCATACAGTTATATGTCTATTATCTCCAGGAATGTTCAACATTATTTGTGAGAGCTGAAAGTGGAGCCAACTGTTAATGTTGGTTAAATAAATATGTCCGTATTATAATAATTTACTGCATTATTATTATTTTATTATTTTTGAGGCAGTCTTGCTCTGTCACCAGGCTGGAGTGCAGTGGCTTGATCTCGGGTCACTGCAGCCTCCACCTCCCGGGTTCAAGCAATTCTCCTGCCTTAGCCTCCCAAGAGCTGGGACTACAGGCATGTGCCACCACGCCTGGATAATTTTTGTATTTTTTTCATGTTTTATTGCCTGTATTTTTTTTTTTTTTTTTGAAACAGAGTCTCGCTCTGTTGCCCAGGCTGGAGTGCAGTGGCGCGATCTTGGCTCACTGCAAGCTCCGCCTCCCAGGTTCACGCCATTCTCCTGCCTCAGCCTCCCTAGTAGCTGGGACTACAGGCGCCTGCCACCGCACCCAGCTAATTTTTTTTTTTTTTGTATTTTTAGTAGAGACGGGGTTTCACCGTGGTCTCGATGTCCTGACCTCGTGATCCACCCGCTTCGGCCTCCCAAAGTGCTGGGATTACAGGTGTGAGCCACCGCGCCCGGCCTGTATTTTGTTTTTATATGTATCATTAATTCTTAAAAATTAAGATTTTGAATCTCTTTGGATATTTATTAGGCTTCAAAGATCTTGATGGAGCAGTCTGAGTTGACTGCCAGTTTCTTAAGTTGGCGGTAAGGCTGGGGTGCAGCGCACACTGGTTTAGCGTGAGCAGTGATCACTAAGCACATGAGCTACGACCACCCCAACTTTACCTCGTTCACAGACAGAACTGGAAGGTTGGTCCTAGATGGCTGCTTGGTCCTGGATGCTTTAGTGGTCTCTTGATATGTGGAAAGCCTTGTTTTGGAACAAATGTTTCCATTGATACAGATGAGAAATGCCTCTTTAATATTTTTATAAACCATTTAGACCCCAATAGATTTGGTTTGTGGGTCACTCTCTTGTGAGTACCAAAGGATTTCATGGTTGGAAGGTGTGCCTTTTCGTCTTGGCAGTGAGCAGCATTTAATGGAGAGACAATGCTTGTATTTGATTTTTTTTTTTTTTTTTTGGTTCATTTACAGGATCTGAGACTTATTCAGACTACCAGCTGTATTATCAGGAAGGAACAAATCCAAGTTTTGACGTATTGTCAGTGTGCCGCATGTTGTATTTTCAAATTCCTTTAGTGGTTTTAACATTAGATGACCAATTCTTTGGCACTGATGTGCTTTTGCCAGTGTACGGTAGATCTGACCATGGCTCTGAGAAGTCTGGCTGGCATTACCACATCCCAAGCTCTCTGTCCAAAGAGAAGGAAGCGCCAGGGACGCACGCTTCCTTGGCTGGACTGCAGGAAAAGAGCTGCAGCACCAGCCTCTCATTACTGCAGCCACCCCCTCTCCTAATTTTTGTATTTTTAGTAGAGATGGGGTTTCACCATGCTGGCCAGGATGGTCTCAATCTCTTGACCTTGTGATCCACCCACCTCGGCCTCCCAAAGTGCTGGGATTATGAGCGTGAGCCACCACGCCCAGCCAATTTACTGCATTATAAAGGTGGAATAAGACTTTATTTTTATTTTTTATTTTTTTAGACAGACTCTGTCACCCAGGCTGGAGTGTAGTGGCACGATCTCAGCTCAGTGCAAACTCCGCACCCTGGGTTCAAGTGATTCTCTTGCCTCAGCCTCCCGAGTAGCTGGGATTACAGACATGTGCTACCACACTTGGCTGATTTATGTATTTTTAGTAGAGATGGGGTTTCACCATGTTGGCCAGGCTGGTCTAGAACTCTTGACCTCACGTGAGCCCCCTGCTTTGGCCTCCCAAAGTGTTGGGATTGCAGACGTGAGCCACCATCCCGGCTTGGAATAAAACTTTTGTGAACTGACATGAAGAGATGGCAATTATAACGAGGGAGAAATTCACATGATGTGATTGGTTGTAGAAAAATAAAAATTATTAGTTCATAGAATGATATTAAGAAGAGCACAGCAGTAGATACCAAACTGTTGGGATTGGGGGCAAGGAAGTGGAAGACTTAAACTTTTTATGTTTTCTCTTTTTATGTTTCTGTAAAACATGAAAGACAAAATAGTAGAGACAAATATTTTTGTTTGTTTTTTGAGATGGAATTTTGCTCTTGTTGTCCAGGCTGGAGTGCAATGGCACACTACAATCTCCACCTCCCTGGTTCAAGCGATTCTCCTGCCTAAGCCTCCCATGTAGCTGGGATTACAGGCATGCACCACCATGCCCAGCTAATTTTGTATTTTTAGTGGAGATGGGGTTTCTCCATGTTAGCTAGACTGGTCCTGAACTCCCAACCTCAGGTCATGTGTCCGCCTCGGCCTCCCAAAAGTGTTGGGATTACAGGCATGAGCCACCGTGCCTGGCCGACCCTGTTTCTTAAAAAAAAAAAAAAAAAAAAAAAAAAAAAAAAAGTGTGTTGCTGAAAATAAAGTTTGAGGTGAAAAAAAAATTTTTTTCTTTCTTTTTTTTTTTTTTTTGAGACAGGGTCTTTCTCTGTCTCTCAGCCTCAAGCCATCCTCCTGCATCAGCCTCCCAAGTAGTTGGGACCATAGGTATGCACTATCATGCTTGGCTAATTTGGAAATTGTTTTTAATACTAAAAATGCTAATGTTTAAATATTAACATTAAATGGCAATACTTAATAAAATGACAAAGTTTTCTTTAACATGACAAACTAAGTGAAACAGTTAAATGTGTTCTTTTTTTTCTTTTTCTTTTTCTTCCCACCCCGAGACAGAGTCTTCCCCTGTCACCCACGCTGGAGTGCAGTGGATTACAAGTGATTCTCCTGCCTCAGCCTCCCGAGTAGCTGGGATTACAGGCGCACACCACCATACCCTGCTAATTTTTTTTTGTTTGTTTGTTTTAGTGGGGACGGGGTTTCGCCATGTTGGTGAGGCTGGTCTCGAACTCCTGACCTCAGGTTTTCCACCCGCTTTGACCTCCCAAAGTGTTGGGATTACAGGCGTGAGCCACTGCAACCAACCTGTTCTTAAACTTTAAAAAATCAAATGCTAGCTTCTGATTCTTCAGTTTTGATTCAAGAATGGTTACAAAGTTTACTTTTAAGTTTAAAAAAAAAAACTATGACTTTTTTTTCTCTTGTCAAAAGTTGTATGTTCTCTTTATATTTGAATGGTTACTATCTGACTGGAAGTCAGGAGTTTATTTCCCCCTGCTGAGATGTATGGTTCATGAGCACATTTGTCTCTTAGGTAGTGGCCAGCATTGAAGCAACAAATACTGTGTAACTTGGTACCTTTAGTTTTTAGGATTCTGATAGATATAAGAAAAATGGGCCGGGCGCGGTGGCTCAGGCCTGTAATCCTAGCGCTTTGGGAAGCTGAGTCAGGCAGATCGTGAGATCAGGAGACCGAGACCATCTTGGCCAACATGGTGAAACCCCGTCTCTACTAAAAAGATAAAAATTAGCTGGGCGTGGTGGCGCGCACATGTAATCCCAGCTACTCAGGAAGCTGAGGCAGGAGAATTGCTTGAACCCAGGAGGTGGAGATTGCAGTAAGCCAAGATTGCACCACTGCACTCCAGCCTGGCGATAGAGCGAGACTCCATCTCAAAAAAAAAAAAAAGGCCAGGCATGGTGGCTCACGCCTGTAATCCCAGCACTTTGGGAGGCCGAGGAGGGTGGATCACTTGAGGTCAAGAGATGGAGACCATCCTGGCCAACATGGTGAAACCCCGTCTCTACTGAAAATACAAAAATTAGCTGGGCGTGGTGGTACGCTCCTGTAGTCCCAGCTACTTGGGAGGCTCAGGCAGGAGAATCGCTTGAACCCGGGAGGCGGAGGTTGCAATGAGCAGAGATTGCGCCACTGCACTCTAGCCTGTCCACAGAGTGAGACTCTGTCTCAAAAAAAAAAAAAAAAAAAAATCAGAACACTTAAAAACTATTAGATACCCATCTGAATTCTCAGTTTGGTCTAAAAAGATTCGTTTATGTGTGGTATTTAATTTTTGGATATTAACTGAACCTCAAAATTTTTTTCTTCCTTTATATGTATTCCTACATGATTGTAGGAGTCTGTCCTGAACTTCGATCATGTACATTTTGGAAACTTATTTTAGAAAAAATCTAAGTCGTAAGAATTCTCAATGAAAAGAGGGTCTTTGCCAATTTCTTTGGGTAAGAAAAGTTCAGAATTTTGCAGATACTCTAAAAATGAAAGTCAACAAAGAAGGCATATAAAATTGTGACGTTTTCAAATAAAATGATTTGTCATGTCCTTTTTTCTTTAGACTGCTGCAGTAAGAATGTCTTTTCCACCTCATTTGAATCGCCCTCCCATGGGAATCCCAGCACTCCCACCAGGGATCCCACCCCCGCAGTTTCCAGGATTTCCTCCACCTGTACCTCCAGGTAAGTTTGTTGATACTGTTTTTTGTCGTTAAACTTGTACTTTTGTCTTTGTGATACTAACTTCAGGAAAATGTTAGATATGTGACTGTGTTAGTGAAGATGCCTCTCAGCGTTGTTTGGGAAATGTGGATGTCTCTTTTTCCTATAGCAGTAGCTTTTATATCTGGCTGAGTATCAAACTCATCTGGAAATTTTTTTTTTTCTTCTCATCTGGAAAGTTTTTAAAAAATTCTTTTTTTTTTTGAGCTAGAGTCTTGCTCTGTCACACTGGCTGGAGTGCAGTGGCACGATCTCCGCTCACTGCAACCTCCACCTCCTAGGCTCAAGCAGTTCTCTGCCTCAGCCTCCTGAGTAGCTGGGATTGCACGCACCTGCCACCATGCCTGGCTAAGTTTTATATTTTTAGTAGAGACAGGGTTTTGCTATGTTGGCCAGGCTGGTCTCGAACTCTTGGCCTCAAATGATCTGCCGGCCTCCGGCTCCCAAAGTGCGGGATTACAGGTGTGAGCCACCATGCCCAGCCTAAAAATTCTATATTTAAAAAAAATGGGTAATACATACACATTGTTCAAAAACAAAAAAAAAATACAGAAAGTAATACAGTGAAAAATTTTCTTCATATACTCCCATAACTGCTATTGCTATCCCCTTACTAAAAAGGGAAGCAATAAGGTTATTAGTTTTTTCTTGATTTTTCCAGATACTTAAAAGTGTATATTATAAGTCAATATAAGTAAAGATTTATGGAGTTAAAAAAAATGTTCAGACCCTGCTCCATCCCCCTGAATCAGATCCTCAGAAATTGGGGCTCAGGATTCTTAATTTTTAACAAGTTCACAGGTAATTTTTGGCACTCATTTAAGCATGGAGAATCCACATTTGAGAACCATTATCCTGAAGTACATAGTGAACATTGCTTATGCTGGGTGTGGTGGTGCGTGTCTGTTGTCTTGGCTATTCAGGAGACTGAGGTGGGAGGATGGCCTGAGCCCAGGAGTTCAAGTCCAAAGAGTGAGACCTCATCTTTGAAAAAACAAAAATCTTTGCTTATAAGAAATTTTTCTTTTGACTTAAGAACATTGCAGTTGGCTGACTTATGATGGGTTGTTAATTCATAGCATGTATGTTACGGGGGTTGTATAAACAGCACATTTGTCTTTATTTTGTTTGTGTGTGCGTGTGTGTGTATGTGTGTTTTGGGCGAGGCCTCACTTTGTTGCCCAGACTGGAGTACAGTGGCACGATCATGGCTCACTGCAGCCTTGACCTCCTGGACTCCCATCTCAGCCCTCCTGAGGAGCTGGGACCACAGGCTTTTGCCACCATGTTCAGTTAATTAAAATTTTTTTAAAAAACATTTTATAAAGATGGGGGTCTCACCATCTTGTCCAGGCTGGTCTTGAACTTCTGGGGTCAAGGTATACTCCTGCCTCAGCCTTCCAAAGTTCTGGGATTACAGATGTGAGCCCCTGCACCTGACCTTGTCTTTATTTTGGATTCAACTACTCATTGTAAAATTTTTAATTTACTGCCACAGGCTCAGCTTTGGGAACCTTCTACCCTTGGGTCTGAAAAGCCCCAAGATAAATATGGGAATTTCTGTGGAATATTATTTAACACTTCAAGAATTTGGGGAAAATCATAATTTAAAAAAATCAGGCCGGGCACAGTGGCTCACGCCTGTAACCTCAGAACTTTGGGAGGCCAAGGTGAGTGGATCACCTGAGTTCAGGAGTTAGAGACCAGTCTGGCCAACGTGGCAAAATGCCATCTCTGCTAAAAATACAAAAAATTAGCTGGGCGTGGTGGCTCAGGCGTGAATCCCAGCTACTCAGGAGGCTGAGGCAGGAGAATCGCTTGAAACTGGGAAGCAGAGGTTGCAGTGAGCTGAGATCATGCCACTGCACTCCAGCCTGGGCAACAAGAATGCAACTTTGTCTCAAAAAGAAAAAAAAATCAGAACAACTGTTTATGCATGTATATTATGGAATAGAATGCAGTACTTTAATAAGCTATTTTAGACATTATGCTTGTAGTGGAGCTGCTTTACGCTGTGCTTCTAGATAATCATGGATGTATATTTGTTATCATCTGCTGCCAGAAGAGTAATGTAAAAGTTTACACTACTGCTTTATTATCCCATGTAACAATTACTGATTTTAAGTAGTAACTTAGTTGTTTTATAATGGACCATAAATAGACTAAATTCTACTGGAAGGCTCTAGCTGGCCCTTTGGACAAAGTTTTTTCTTAAAATGAATTTTGCTGAAAGGAAATTCTATTGAGAAAATTGAGAAAATGTTGCAGAAAACTGAATAAAGTTAGTTATCAGCCATCAAACAGATTAATAGTTATAGAAGGAAAGTGTTTTGAACAACTTTCATTTGGGCTTCAGTTTTCTCTTTGGTCCGTATATCCTGATTTTCTTCATATATTTATAGGCTCATAATGCAGTTCTGGGTTTTAATTTTTAATTTATTAATTTTTTTGAGACAGGATCTCTCTTTGTCTCCCAGGCTGGGGGTACAGTGGCATAACCATAACTTAATGTGGCCTCTATCTCCTGGACTCAACTGATCCTCCTGCCTCAGCCTACTGAGTAGCTGAGACTATAGATGTGTGCCACCATGACTGACTCAGATCCGTTTTTCGATGGGCCTTACCATAACCATGATGCAAAGCCCGAGTGTTCTAGAAGTTATAGGCTGGGCATGGTGGCTCATACCTGTAATCCCATCACTTTGGGAGGCTGAGGGCAGGAGGATTTCTTGAACCCAGGAGTTCAAGATCAGCCTGGACAACATAGGGAAGAAAGACCCTGTCTTGTGGGGAGGTGGGGGGTGGCAGTAAGCTTAATTGCTTGTTTAGAATCAGAAAAGATGGTTATGGAGAATCTGTGCTTTAATTTCCTTACCAGTAGATTGGGTTTATAGAAAAGATTTTAAATTTCTTTGATTTTTTTTTTTGTTTGTTTTGCTTTTTTTGAGAGAGTCTCACTCTGTCGCTGGAGTGCAGTGGTGCCATTACAGCTCACTGCAGTCTCTGCCTCCTGGGTTCAAGTGATTCTCCTGATTCAGTCTCCCTAATAACTGGGATTATGAGTGTGTGCCACCATGCTCGGCTAATTTTTGTATTTTCTGTAGAGATGGGGTTTTGCCGTGTTGGCTCAAGCGATGTGCCTGTCTTGGCCTCCCAAAGTGTTTGGATTATGGGTGTGAGCTACCGTGTCCCCTCACTCCCTGCCTTTTTTTTTTTTTTTAAATAAAGAAATGGAGTTTTGCTATGTTTCCTAGGCTAGAGTACAGTGGTTATACACAGGCACAATGCTAGCACACCGCAGCCTTGAACTCCTGGGCTCAGGGATCCTTGTGCCTCAGCTTCCAGAATAGCTGTAACTACAAGCATGATTTTATTTATTTATTTATTTTTTTGGTACAGAGTCTTGCACCTGTCCCCCAGGCTGGAGTGCAATGGTGTGATCTCGGCTCACTGCAACCTCTGCCTCCCGGGTTCAAGCAATTCTGCCTCAGCCTCCCGAGTAGCTGGGATTACAGGCACGCACCACTACGCCTGGCTAATTTTTGTATTTTTAGTAGAAACAGGGCTTCTCCATGTTGGTCAGGTTAGTCTCAAACTCCTGACCTCAGGTGATTTACCCATCTTTGCCTCCCAAAGTGCTGGCATTACAGGCGTGAGCCACTGCGCCCGGCCCATGATTTTTATTTTCTGCGAAAGAGCCAGGAATAACAAGATTCTTCTTAGATTTACACATAAATTTCTCATCTCATGCTTAAAATAACTGTCAAAAGATTTGTTTTTACTTTATTTGACAAAATTTTATATGTTTATCATGCACAACGTTTTGAAATAACATATGTTGTGGAATGACTAAATTGAGCTAATTAACACTTGGTGTATTACTTTACATACTTATTTTTTGTTGTTGTGAGAACACCCTAGATTTTAAGTGGAGATTTTCTCTTAGTTATTTTCAAGAATATAGTACACTTACTAACTGTATCACCATGTTGCACGACGTGTTTTACCTTTTTTTTGGTCTTTTTTTTTTTTCCTTTTTGTGGAGAACGGGGTCTCACTATTTTGCCCAGGCAGATCTCGATCTCCTGGGCTCAATCTGTCCTCCTGCCTGTGCCTCCCTAAGAGCTGGAATTACAGGCGTGAGCCACCGTGCCCAGCTGTTTTTACTTTTAAAGGATTCTTTAATAGCATTGTTCACCTATAAGTCAGTCTGTATTTGTGAAAGGCATTGGTTTTGAGGATCACCGAACCACATGAACCCGAATGGATAACTATCCAGGATTTTATGCTCTTTAAGTCAAAAGCATATTGAGGTGGCCATTTTGTTTTCAGGATAGTCTTTTTTGTAAGTTTATATGGACCAACCTGATACCACATTCCTTTTGAAAATAAGATAGTATTTATCAGTATTTCACTTTCATTTGTCTTATATTTCCACTTATGTTAATTATGAGTAAGGATACTTAATTGTGTGGCATGTTGTTGATAGAGAATGCAGTCATGTAAAATCAGTGTGGTTTTTCTTTTCTTAGGGACCCCAATGATTCCTGTACCAATGAGCATTATGGCTCCTGCTCCAACTGTAAGTATAACTTAAAGGAGGAATCATGAGTTATGGTAGTGCTAGTGCTTTTAAGCTGAACAGCATGATAAACTTAGATAAATTATGAGTATTTAAAAGAATAACAAGGACAGAATGACAGCACCCCTGTAGAGCATATCATTTATTTGAATAAGTATCATTTTCACTTAGGTGTGCATATATGCAGTTGCCCTTGCAATGTGCTCCCTAAGTAGATAATTCTATGATTTTCCTGTTACTATCTAGACTCTTCATATACTTGTTATTACAAATTTAGGACTTTGGCTCTTCATTGCCTTCTCATCTTGGTCCTGGGAGATGGGAGAAGGATGTGACATGTCTGATCTCTTAAAAGAACATAGGAATCCTTGTAAAAATTAAAATTTTGAAATGAAATTTGTGTGGACTACCTTTTACATGTTTCCTCCTACCTTCCTAAGGTATATGGCCTAAGGCATAAATTTTAAATGTTCAAGACATAGGCCAGGATCACCTGAGGCCAGGAGTTCAAGACTAGCCTGGCCAACATGGTGAAACCCTGTGTCTACTAAAAATACAAAAAATTATCTAGGCTTGGTGGTGCGCGCCTGTAATCTCAGCTACTCGGGAGGCCGAGGCAGGAGAGTCCCTTGAACCCAGGAGGCGGAGGTTGCAGTGAGCCGAGATTATGCCACTGCACTCCAGCCTGGGCGACAGAGCGAAATTCCGTTTCAGAAAATAAAAGTAAAAATTATGTCTTAAACATAACAAAGTTTTCTTGGTTATTTTTGTTTCTTTTTTAAGAAGAAAGGTAATCTAGTAGTAGAAGTTTACTTGTCACAAATAAGTTTGCATTAATGAAATGTGCTATGCACTTTAGGAGCTTTAGAAGTATACAAGCATGCAGAGCTTAAATAATGTGCTATATATATTTATTTAATCCTGATGTTTTTAGCCTAATGTTAATTGTGGTAGGAAATTTAATTGCTGGATCAATTTTTATTTTGTTTCTTCACCTTAGGTCTTAGTACCCACTGTGTCTATGGTTGGAAAGCATTTGGGCGCAAGAAAGGATCATCCAGGCTTAAAGGCTAAAGAAAATGATGAAAATTGTGGTCCTACTACCACTGTTTTTGTTGGCAACATTTCCGAGAAAGCTTCAGACATGCTTATAAGACAACTCTTAGCTGTAAGTTAAACTGTTTATTTTTCATTAAAAATTTTTTTATCATTCTACATTTCAAACTTAAGCAGAAAGAAGACTTTCAGTGATTGCTTTTTATTTTAAAAAATTTCAGTCCTGCAGCAAAGGTGAAAAAGTACAGTGAACACGTTTGTATTCTTTTCCTAGATTCACCAATGAACATGTTTAGATATTTTATGTACACATGTGTACCACACACACTTTTTTCTTGGATAATTTGAAAGTAAATTGTGGCATAACATTTCACCTGTGAATCCTTCATTTATCTCCTAAGAGCAAGGACATTCTGCGACATAATCACAATGCCACTATCACACATGAAATTTGGCCGGGTGCAGTGGCTTTTGCCTGTGGTTGTCATCCTAGTCCTTTGCAAGGCTGAGGCAGGAGGATCTCTTAAGCTAGGAGTTCGAGACCAGCCTGGGCAACATATCGAGACACATCTTTACAAAAAATTAAAAAATAATAGGGCCAGATGCAGTGGCTCATGCCTGTAATCCCAGCACTTCAGGAGGCCGAGGTGGGCAGATCATTTGTGGTCAGGAGTTCGAGACCAGCCTGACCAACATGGTGAGACCCTGTCTCTACAAAAAATACAAAAATTAGCCAGGCGTGGTGGCGTGTGCCTGTAATCTCAGCTACTCGGGTGGCTGAAGCAGGAGAATCCCTTGAACCCGTGAGATGGAGGCTGCAGTGAGCTGAGGTCGCGCTACTGCACTCCACCCTGGGCGACAGAGCGAGACTCCATCTCAAAAAAATAATGACAGGGATTAAAAAATAAAAATAAAAAAAAAGCCAGGTGTGGTGATGCACGCCTGTAGTCCTAGCTGTTCAGAATCCGAGGTGGGAGAATTGCTTGAGTCTAGGAGTTGAAGGCTGCAGTGAGCTATGATCTTGTAATTGCACTCCAGCCCGAGCAAGAGAGTCTCTAAAACAAAAAAATATATAAAATTGATATAATATTGTTAACTAATGCACATGTAGTTCATATTTAATTTTCCCAGTAATGGCCATAATATTAATAGTTGTTTTATTTTTCATCCATGATCCAATGAAAGATTTTTATTTACTTTTGAGACAGATTTGCTCTGTCACACAGGCTGAATGAAGTGGTGACATCTTGGCTCACTGCAAACTCTGCCTCCTGTATTTAAGTGATTCTCATGCCTCAGCCTCCCTAGTAGCTGGGATTACAGGCGCGTGCCATGACACCTGGCTCATTTTTGTGTTTTTTTAGAGACAAGGTTTCATCATGTTATCCAGACTTGTCTTGAACTCCTGGCCTCAAGCAAACCGCCTGCGTTGGCTTTCCAAAGTGTTGAGATTACACGCGTGGGCCACCACACCTGGCTAGGGTTAATATTTTGAGACTGTGAGTCCTTTTCCCCAATGATGTTAAACAATGATTTTAGCATCCAATGATGATTGACTGATTCCTTTTAAAGTTTTATTCTGAGCTTGAATAGTAATAAGTTGTTTAAATTTGGTAAGCTTGTTGATTCACTTTTTTTACCTTTTTAAGATTTTATCTTGATGATACATGTACATTGTTAAGTGAAATAATGCTGAATGATTGTATAATAAAATAAGGCCAGGTGCGGTGTCTCACACCTGTAATCCCGGCACTTTGCGGGGCCAAGGTGAGTGGATCACTTGAGGTCAGGAGTTTGAGACCAGCCTGATCAACATGGTGAAACCCCATCTCTACTAAAAATACAAAAATTAACCAGGCGTGGTTGTCGGTGCCTGCAATCCCAACTACGCGGGAGGCTGAGGCAGGAGAATCATTTGAACCTGGGAGGCGGAGGTTGCAGTGAGTTGAGATGGCGCCACTGCACTCCAGCCTGGGTGACAATGTTAGACTTTGTCTCACACACAAAAAAAGGAGTTTGGAAGAATGACTATATTCTGCACTGAGAGGATCTGCAAAGATGTCATTCTTCGTCTGTATCCCAGAATCTTGTGTAGGTTCTCTGTAAGGACAGGGCCAGGGTTATCTCAACCTGTGGTTCACCTCATGAGTAGTTCAGTATGAGTCCTGCAATCTTGCCATCCTCTGGAAATATTGTTGCCTGCTCTCCTTATGCCCCTCTGAGATGCTGGGCAATTACTTTACATCATTCATGATTCTTGTTCCTCAACTATTCATATTTAAGAAATTCCTGTTCTTTTAGAAGACTGGATCTCCTGGGCACTCTGTAAGTTTTAATTAACTGGTTTGAGGATGTTTTGGGTTTCTCAGTTTTGTTTTCTTCTATTACTTCCATGGGATTTTTGGTAATTTCAGTCTGAAGCCTGACTCCATTTTTATTCTTGAGTTTTCTCCTGGGCTTCTTTTCACTGTAGCCACAAGGCCTAATCTGAGGTCTGCAGAGAACTAGCACTTACTCTGCTCTAATGGAATTCAGGAAAGTCAGAAGGTACTGGAGTATAGAAATGTGTTTGCTCCTGTCTGCTTCTGGAAGTCTCTGTTTTGCTATGTTATTACTGCTAATGTTTTCTCCCTAGGTGTATGTGAAAAGATTCTCATCACAAATTCTCATAGAAGTGCCGTTTCTGAGTCTTAGGGCATGCTTATCTGCAGCTTTACAAGATAATTCCACACCAATTTATTTATATTTACTGCAGCAGTGTCATGTCCGAGTTTCTATTCTTACACATCTTTTTTTTTTTTTTTTTTTTTTTTTTTTGAGATGGAGTCTTGCTCTGTCGCCCAGGCTGTAGTGCAGTGGCACCATCTTGGCTCACTGCAAGCTCCGCCTCCTGGGTTCATGACATTCTCCTGCCTCAGCTTCCCAAGTAGCTGGGACTACAGGCGCCCGCCACCATGCCCGGCTAATTTTTTGTATTTTTAGTAGAGACAAGGTTTCACCATGTTAGCCAGGATGGTCTCGATCTCCTGACCTCGTGATCTGCCCGCTTTGGCCTCCCAAAGTGCTGGGATTACAGGCGTGAGCCACCGCGCCCGGCCCTCTTACACATCTTTTTTAACAATTGGTGTTTATTTAGAATTTTACATTGTGTTGTGAAATACCTTATTCCTATTTCAATATGCCTTTTTACTGTTCTTCATAATTTTGATATTATCTGTTGACATGTTATGGTAGCTTGAGGCCTAAACTGTTAAAGGCCTCAGTCTCCCTTCCCTACTTCCTTACAGGTGTTACAAGATGGCGAACTTGATAATAAGTATTATTATGTAAATAGTTTTAGCAGAACTAGGTTATGTGCTATGATTGTATTTTCTTTCTTTGGTTTGTTTTCTTTCTTTCTTTTTTTTTTTTTTTATTTGAGATGGAGTCTCACTCTGTTATCCAGGCTGGAGTGCAGTGGCGTGATCTCAGCTCACTGCAACCTCGCCATCCGGGGTTCAAGCAATTCTCCTGCCTTAGCCTCCCGAGTAGCTGGGATTATGGATGCCTGCTACCACACCTGGCTAATTTTTGTATTTTCAGTAGAGACGGGGTTTCACCAGGTTTGCCAGGCTGGTCTGGTACTCCTGACCTCCAGTGATCTCCCTGCCTCAGCCTCCCAAAGTGCTGGGATTACATGCGTGAGCCACTGCCTAGTCCATTTTCTTATTTTAATTTTTTATTTTTTATCTTTGAGACAGAGTCTCGCTCTGTTGCCCAGGCTGGAGTGCAGTGGCACGATCTCAGCTCACTGCAACCTCCGCCTCCCGGGTCAGTGATTCTTCTGCCTCAGCCTCCCAAGTAGCTGGGATTTCAGGCACCCGCCACCACGTCCGGCTAATTTTTGTATTTTTAGTAGAGATGGGGTTTTACCATGTTGGCCAGACTGGTCTCGAACTTTTGACCTCAAGTGATCCACCCACCTTGGCTTCCCAAAGTGTGGGGATTCTTTTCCCTTCTTTTCTAGAGCTCCTCCTGTCAGGTCCCTTTGTTCGTCTCATGTGTTCTGGTTCCTCTAAGTCTACTTTTATCCTTGGATTTTTTTCTGTCTTTTCTAGTATTCCCCTTATTGCTGTTCTGTGTTGGGTGGTTTGGATCCTATATCTTGCTTGTGCCGACACATAGTAGTTCCTGTTATATTGGGATGATACATCCTCTGTATATGATGTACATGGTATATATGGGTATGTGGTTGGTAACTTTTCTGAATCTAAATCTGAAGTGCTTTTTATTTCATGTGGTCAGTAGTTTACCGGGATATAGAATTCGGTGATGAAGCTTATCTTCCTCACATTGAAGGTGCTGCCTTATCGTGTTATAGCATCTAATGATGGTTTTCAGAAGTCCCGCATCATTCTGAATGCTCTTTGTGTGTGAACTGTTTTTCCCTGGAATGCCTCTCCTAGTGAGGATTTGACTGATTGGAGGTTTTAGTTCCTAATTATGTGAAATTCTTCGAATGTTTATTTGATTTTCTTATTTTTCTTATATCATTGTGTTGGTCACTTACTTGGTGGGCCATTTCGTTCTGGAGCCTTTTTTCAGGAGAAAATTTTGAGCTATTTGAGAATTCTTTTTACTTTCTTCAGGAACTCTGTTTGGATGTTGAGCTTCCAGGTTTGACCTATGTGTTTTTGATTTCCTATTTTCCATCTCTTACTATTTTGCACGGGTTCTTGGGATTTGTCCTTAACTTTACCTTCCAGACTTACATTGAAATATTTATTTTTAATGCCATGTTTCAAGTTTCCATTAGTTTTCTCTTGTTCTCTGAAGATTTCTCACCTACACCCTCCTCCTTCTGTCTTTTTTTTAACTGGATGGAACTTTATTTTATTTTTCTTTTTTGAGACAGTCTCATTCTGTTGCTCAGACTGGAGCATAGTGGCATGATTACAGCTCACTGCAGCCTCGATTTCCTGGGCTCTAGCCATCCATCCGTCTCATCCTCCTGAGTAGCTGGGACCACTGGTGTGTGCCACCACGCCCGCCTAATTTTTTTGTTTTTGTAGAGACAGTGTCTCCCTATGTTGCCCAGGCTGGTCTTGAACTCCTGGGCTCAAGCAATCCTTCCACATCAGCCTCCCAAAGTGTTGGGATTATAGACGTGAGCTACACCTCGCTGCTTTTATTTTTAAAGTATAATAGTGTCCTACCGTTCAGATAACCTGCCCTCCTTCACATTTTGGAATATTTCTCTTTATTTTTACAGAAAGCTGTTTTTGTTTATAGTTAGAGTCTTGCTGTGTATCTGCATTTTCTTTTCCCAAGTTATTTTTGCATACCGTATCAAGCGTTTTCCCATGTTAATGGGATGGCTGGGCGCAGTGGCTCGTGCCTGTAATCCCAGCACTTTGGGAGGCTGAGGCGGGCAGATCACGAGGTCAGGAGTTCAAGACCAGCCTGGCTAATATGGTGAAACCCCGTCTCTACTAAAAATAAATAAAAAAAAAAAAACAAAAAACAATTATCCAGGCGTGGTGGTGCCTGCATGTAGTCCCAGCTACTTAGGAGGCTGAGGCAGAAGAATCGCTTGAATCTGGGAGGCAGAGGTTGCAGTGACCCAAGATCACGCCACTGCACTCCAGCCTGGGTGACAGAGCGAGACTCCGTCTCAAAAGAAAAAAAAATCCTTTATAAATACATACATATTGTTTCAAAACATTTCTTTATAGATTCATAATATTTACTTAAATTTATTATAGTTTGTTTTAACCATTCTAATTTTAGGCATTTAGGTTTACGTGTTTATTTTGTTAGGATAAGTAGTGATGCGAAACTTTTAATAAAAGGTAAACAATGTTCTGCAAATGAAGAATCAGTAAGAATTTATATTTTTCTTTAAATGATTTGTTGTTCATTTCTTTCATGTGATAAGTTTGTGGGAATTGCAAAAATTTTCGCAAATGTAGTTGCTGGTTTTTTATTTTATGTTTTTTATCCCTAGTAGAAATATAATTTTGCTTTTAGTTACATTAAAAATTATTTTGTTAAATGGTAGCAATCTGTTTGTTTTGTTTTCTTTTTAAGAAATGTGGTTTGGTTTTGAGCTGGAAGAGAGTACAAGGTGCTTCCGGAAAGCTTCAAGGTATGTCATTTTTTTCCTTATTTGCTGAAATCACTTTAACTAACCTGTGTGCTTAAATCACTTTGCATGACTTAACTCTCATTGTCTTTATCAGTAAGACTTATTTTATTAGCACTCTTTGTCCTCTTTTTTATTGAAATAGGGTTAAAAGGCAGTTTGGGAAAATATTGGCTGAGAATTGAGATCAGAAGGAGGAAAAAGGTGTAAGAGGAAAGGAAAAAATTAAAATTGCTCAATTTAACTGGTTTCTTGTTCTTTCAAAAGTCTCTTTTGTCTCAAGAAATGACTGCATGATCAAAATGGAACAATTAGTAAGGGAGAAGAAGAGACAATCATGGCCTGTTAACTTTTTTTTTTTTTTTTTGAGACCTAGTCTCACTCTGTCACCCAGGCTGGAGTGCAGTGGCGTGATCTTGGCTCACTGCAACCTCTGCCTCCTGGGTTGGAGCAGTTCTCCTGCTTCAGCCTCCTGAGTAGCTGGGATTACAGGTGTGCGCCACCATGCCCGGCTAATTTTTGTATTTTTAGTAGAGACGGGGTTTCACCATGTTGGCCAGGCTGGTCTCAAACTCCTGACCTCAGATGATCCACCCGCCTTGACCTCCTAAAATGCTGGCATTACAGGCAGGAGCCACCACACCTGACCTCAAATGTTAATTTTTTAAATAGTTGATTTGATTCAGGATCTATATGAAGTCCACACATTGCAACTAGTTGGCAATTTGTTTTAAGTCTCCTAATTTTTTTTATTAGCACCATCCTCTAACCAACTGAGCTAACTGGCCAGACTCTTAATATTTTAAGTTATTCTATTTCTAATTTTCCTTGCAGTTTATTTGTTGAAGAAACTGGGTCATTTGTGCAATAGTATTTTTTAAGTTGAGTTTTGCTGAATGCAGCTCCAGTACTATAATTTGCCATTAATCTATCCTCTGTGTTTTCTGTAAAGTGGTCAGTAGTTGTACTTGATGTGTGCTGTGTGGTGGTTTGTTTTGTTTTGTTTGTGTTTTTTATTTTTTTGGAGGAGTTTCGCTCTTCTTGCCCAGGCTGGAGTGCAGTGGTGCGATCTTGGCTCACTGCAACTTCCACCTCCCAGGTTCAAGCAATTCTCCTGCCCCAGCCTCCCGAGAAGCTGGGATTACAGGCACGTGCCACCATGCCCGGCTAATTTTTTATTTTTAGTAGAGACGGGGTTTCTCCATGTTGGTCAGGCTGCTCCTGAGCTGCTAACCTTATGATCCGCCCACCTCAGCCTCCCAAAGTACTGAGATTATAGGCACGAGCCACTGCTCCTGGCCGCTATTTTTTTTTTTAATGTTTTTATTCTAGCACCTTATAGCAAGAATACTATAAAGGTAGTATTCTTCCATCAGGGAACACATGTGAGATTGTCTTTTTTGTATGTGTAATAGCATCAGTGTTGCCAGTGCCTAGATTGATTAATTCATTAGGAAGTAATTCATCAGTAGTCTTTTTTCTTTTTTTTGAGACAGAGTCTTGTTATGTTGCCAGGCTGGAGTGCAGTGGCATAATCTTGGCTCACTGCAATCTCCAACTCCCTGATTCAAACGATTCTCCAGCCTCAGCCTCCCGAGTAGCTAGGATTACAAGCATGTACCACCCCACCCAGCTAATTTTTGTACTTTTAGTAGAGACAGGGTTTCACCGTGTTGGCCAGGAGGGTCTCGATCTCCTGATCTCGTGATCTGCCCGCCTTGGCCTCCCAAAGTGCTGGGATTACAGACGTGAGCCACCGCGCCCGGCCTCATCAGTAGTCTGTTTTGAAGAATTCTGTCATTCTTTTATTGAGGAACAAATCTTTTTCATATATTAGTAGAATGCTTCTCTATGGAGAAAGTTGCCCCTGCATCTACTGTTTGGTAACTTAGAGGCATTTTTGTTGTTCTTGAGATGGAGTTTTTCGCTCTTGTTGCCCAGACTGGAGTGCGATGGCACCATCTCAGCTCGCTGCAACCTCCGCCTCCTGGGTTCAAGTGGTTCTCTTGCCTCAGCCTCCTGAGTAGCCAGGATTACAGGCGCCCACCACCATGCCTGGCTAATTTTTTGGTTTTTTTAATAGAGGCGGGATTTTGCCCTGGTTGCCAGGCAAGTCTTGAACACGTGACTTCAGGTGATCCGCCCACCTCAGTCTCCCAAAGTGCTGGGATTACAGGCTTGAGCCACCATGCCTGGCATAGAGGCATATTTAATACAGAATAGGCAGGATAGATGCACTGGCT
Source organism: Homo sapiens (assembly GCF_000001405.40). Lineage (NCBI taxonomy): Eukaryota > Metazoa > Chordata > Mammalia > Primates > Hominidae > Homo > Homo sapiens. Next base: position 73,085,792 of record NC_000014.9, read on the forward strand.
TGCTTTCTTAAAACAATGAGTTGCTATCCTCAGCATTCTCTAGCAGTGACTGATTTTCTTTTTTCTTTTGAATTATTGTGAACTTAGGAATTGAAGCATATTTAGTGTTATTGTATTTAATATGGATTCATTGTAGTTATTATCACCATTAAAGCTTAACTTAAATTGTCTCTGCACTTTACATCTCCAGTGGTTTTGACATGACCCTGAACACCTTTGACAGCTGCTTTGTTATCTGGTATGACAATTTGTTCTAAGGTCATCTAGTATAATAGGTTTTCGGCCCCAGACTTAGAATCAGCCATTTCTCCAGGGGAAATTGTTTTGAAGATCACGATCTGGACACTAGGTGCACTCATATTAACAGTGGTTTGGGATGGGTGTGGTGGCTCGAGCTTGTAATCCCAGCACTTTGGGAGGCTGAGGCAGGCGGGTCAAGAGATCAAGACCATCCTGGCCAACATGGTGAAACCCTGTCTCTACTAAAAATACAGAAATTAGCTGAGTGTGGTGGTGCGCTCCTTTAGTCTGAGCTACTCAGGAGGCTGAGGCAGGAGAATCGCTTCAACCCGGGAGGCAGAGTTTGCAGTGAGCCGAGATTGCACCACTACACTCCAGCCTGGTGACAGCGCGAGACTCCGTCTAAAAAAAAAAAAAAACAAAACAGTGGTTTGGTGTTTGCTTTTAGGTTTTTCCAGTGTATACTAATTCAGATTCAGGACTAAAAGGTTTTTATTTAGCCTGTTTTGTCATATATTTGTATCTCCTTTTTCCCCACACTGAGGTCCCCGAGTTTCAAGGCCATTGGGGATGATAAACTATTAATTACTGAGTTGCTTTATCTTGCATTGCACATATAACAGTTTCACACTAACAACATTGACACTATCATCAGCAATATGATCATTTAAAATTACTTTTCTTTTTTTTTGAGACAGGGTCTCTGTCTGTTGCCCAGGCTGGAGTGCAGTGGGGCAATCTCAGCTTACTGCAACTTCTGCCTCCCGGGTTCAAGCAATTCTCCTTCCTTAGCCTCCCTAGTAGCTGGGACTACAGGCATGTGCCACCACACCCAGCTAGTTTTTGTATTTTTAGTAGAGAGAGGGTTTCACCATGTTGGCCAGGCTGGTCTGGAACTCCTGATCTCAGGTGATCTGCCCGCCTCTGCCTCCCAGAGTGCTGGGATTACAGGCATGAGCCACTGCGCCCGGCCTAAAGGTACTTTTTTGAGGGGCATATCTGTTTGTCTTTATGGTATATCACACTGAAATGTCAAATTTACTATTTTAATATCAGTAGTTTTTTTCTGTTTCCTGTCATTATATACATATTTAGATTTATTTGATTTTATTTTCAATTTGTTGGTTGCTCTTCTTAGATTTAATTTTGTTTTAATATTTCTGTTAAAGTCATCTTAATAGTGAGATTGACTAGTTATAAAAGGAAATAGATGTAAGTAAAATAGACTGGTAACTAGGATACAAATTCTGTAATTTAACATCTCAGAATTGAAAAGTGCATTGTTTGTGTTCCTGCAGTCTGTTCTTTCTTGTGGCTGTTTGGAAGTCTAGATAGGGTGAATTTATGAAATAATTGACTCCTTTCTTTTTTTTTTTTTTTTTGAGACGGAGTCTCGCTCTTTCGCCCAGGCCGGACTGCAGTGGCGCTATCTCGGCTCACTGCAACCTCCGCCTCCTGGGTTCACGCCATACTCCTGCCTCAGCCTCCCAAGTAGCTGGGACTACAGGCGCCCGCCACCGCGCCCGGCTAATTTTTTGTATTTTTAGTAGAGACGGGGTTTCACTGTGTTGGCCAGAATGGTCTCGATCTCCTGACCTCGTGATCCACCCGCCTCGGCCTCCCAAAGTGCTGGGATTACAGGCATGAGCCACCGCGCCCGGCCAATTGACTCCTTTTAATCATGAATTTCATTGACTCTGCTAAATATTTTATTAGAGCTTCTAATGAGTAGCAGTTTGTCTGATTTGAATTTTTCTTCCTCTCTGTTTTTCCCTTTTTTTCCCCTTTGGTTGTTTGAGGATACTAAAAGTGAAATGGTTATCAAAGGGAATTGGTGGACAGGGGTGGAATTATGAATTGAGTGGTCTTTGTATTAAAACATTTGGACTCTAGTGATTCTACTTTTCCATAATTTTTTTTCTTTTGTAAGTGAATTGGTATTTCACTAATTGTTTTCATCCATTGCTAGCCTTCGGATTCTGTGAGTACAAGGAGCCAGAATCTACCCTCCGTGCACTCAGATTATTACATGACCTGCAAATTGGAGAGAAAAAGCTACTCGTTAAAGTTGATGCAAAGACAAAGGCACAGCTGGATGAATGGAAAGCAAAGAAGAAAGCTTCTAATGGGGTATGTTTTCTGTCGTGTTATCTTTTCTAGGCCAGACTGTGCTATTTCAGTGTAGTGCTTCTCATTATAAATGAATCTAATATGGGGCTTCAAAAGATCATCATGTATGTGCTTGTGGCTTAATGTAGGAGGGTATTTTATAGTTTGTAGTTATTTTAAGTCTTATCTGCCCATAGTGGGTGGATGACTGTTGGTTTGCTTGTTCCAGGTTGGGATGAAAGTAGTAAGGGAGGCTGGACAAGGTTAACTTGCCAGAGAAAGCACTGGTACAGACTATTCCAAACAGAGCTAATTCATTAAGGCAGCTTTGTAAGTAAGTACAAAATATATTTCAACCTACACAATTTTTATTAGTTTCCCTCTCTTTTAGAAGTACACCGACTCTAAAATGAATGAAAGTCTGATTACTTGCCTTAGGTTGGGGGCTTTATCCAAGCTCTACTAAGTGAAGCTAAAATAAAGGACATTGTTGTATATTGTATTTTAATGTATACATTATTACCTCCTCAGCAAAGTGAAACATAGCTAAAACTTGAGTATATATTTCCTTCATTTCTCTTCTTAGTTCCTTTTTGGCATCTCATGCTGAACAAATCCAAAATAGATTTATTAATGCCTTCCCCCAACACAAACAAAACCAGAAGAGTCTTTCGCTGTCGTCAAATTTTTATTATCTTTCAAAATAGAAATCGCTTTTTGCTGGGCACGGTGGCTCACGCCTGTAATCCCAGAACTTTGGGAGGCAGAGGCGGGCAGATCACCTGAGGTCAGGAGTTCGAGACCAGCCTGGCCAACGTGGCGAAACCCTGTCTCTACTAAAAATACAAAAAATTAGCCTAGCGTTGTGGTGGGTGCCTGTAATCCCAGCAACTCAGAGGCTGAGGCAGGAGAATCGCTTGAACTGCAGAGGCGGAGGTTGCAGTGAGCTGGGATCTAGCCATTGTACTCCAGCCTGGGCAACTAGAGTGAAACTCTGTCTCCCTGCTGCCAAAAAAGAAAAAAGAAATACCTTTCATGTTCCCTCCAAGTTCTTTGTTAAAAAAAAATAAAAACCAAACCCAAAAAACTCACAAAATGAAGCAAAGTATAAATAATCAATTAAATACCACCTGTAATCCCATCATCATAAGCAACACTGTAGGCGGTTTGGATGTATGTTCTTCCAGACATTTTTCTGTGTATGAATGTGGTTCATTTGTTTTTTGTTTTTTTTGAGACAGAGTCTCTCTGTCGTTCAGGCTAGAGTGCAGTGGTGCGATCTTGGCTCACTGCAACCTCTGCCTCCCGTGTTCAGGTGATTCTCCTGCCTCAGCCTCCTGAGTAGCTGGGATTACAGGCATCCACCACCACGTTCAGCAAATTTTTGTATTTTTAGTAGAGATGGGGTTTCATCATGTTGGCCAGGCTGGTCTCGAACTCCTGACTTCAGGTAATCTGTTCTCCTTGGCCTCCCAAAGTGCTGGGATTACAGGTGTGAGCCACCACACCTGGCCAAATGTAGGGTTTTGTTTGTTTGTTTGTTTGAAATGGAGTTTCCCTCTCTTGCCCAGGCTGGAGTGCAGTGGTGCGACCTTAGCTCACTGCAACCTCCACCTCCCAGGTTCAAGTGATTCTCCCTCCTCAGCCTCCCAAGTAGCTGGGATTACAGGTGTCCGCCACCAGGCTCGGCTACTTTTTGTATTTTCACTATGTAAGTGAGGCTGGTCTTGAACTCCTCACCTTAGGTGATCTGTCTGCCTCAGCCTCCCAAAGTGCTGGGATTACGTGTGAGCCACTCCACCCGGTCAGCATTGCCTGTATTTCTAAAACATAAGTATAATTTTATGAAACTCTTGCTTATATTATGTGAGACCCATCCTTAATGGTTTTGGATTTCTTACAGAAAAAAGTACCCCCCCTCTTTTTTTTTGATGCAGTCTCGCTTTGTTGCCCAGACTGGAGTGCAGTGGCGAAATCTTGGCTCACTGCAACCTCCACCTCCCAGGTTCAAGCGATTCTCCTGCTTTGGCCTACCGAGTAGCTGAGATTTTAGGCACCCGCCACCACCCCCAGCTAATTTTTATGTTTTTAGTAGAGGTGGGATTTCTCCATGTCTTCCAGGCTGGTCTTGAGCTCCTGACCTCAGGTGATCCACCCACCTCGGCCTCTCAAAGTGCTGGGATTACAGGCGTGAGCCACCGTGCCCGGCCATAAAGTCCATATTTTTAGGATGACATTCAAGGCTCACTCCAGTCCACGTTTCTAGCTTCCGTCTTCCCTCCCCTGCACATACTACTGCATGTACCTCCACAGTCTTCCCTTTTGCTTTGCTGGCATCTCATGTCTTTGTTGCCTATCCAAGCTCCCTGTTGAAATTCTATCCATACTTATAATTAACATGTCCCTTGATTCATACAGACTTTATCAGCCTGCCCTTAGTTTCTGTCAGACAGAATTAAGTCCTCTGTTCCCATATAAAGCAGATCTTTATAGCTGTTTTAGTAGATATTGTTTATATATCTCTCTCTTTCACAGCCCCTTGTAACCCATCTCATTCCCATATTCTCTTTCAACCCCCATCTCTGATTACAGATAGAAAGGGTGATAAGTTTGTGGGCTGTGTCTCTTTAATCTTGTACCTCCACAGCATCTAGGACAGTGTCTTGCCTAAAGCAAGGATGGAATTAACATTTGTTAATAGACGCTTATCTGTCAGTCTTACTATCCTCACCCTGCTTCATAAGGAAATTATATTTTATTTATATTTTATTTCAAATCAGTAATACTGCCTGTCACATCACTAAAACCTCAAAAAACAGAAATGTTTGAAATAAGAATTTTCAGGTTTGCCTTGTGATAACTGTATACTAACTAGTTGAAAGTATGGATTCAGTATCTTCAAAGTGTTCTGATTTGCTAGGACTCACTGTTTTCTTGTGTTTAATCTTCAGTTTGTGAGGTCATTTAATTTGTAGCATTTGCAAATGTTATACTGAAAAACTCTGAGAATGAAATAAGTCACTATACTACGTATTTTTATAAATAAGGAAGTGCACAATTATGTGACTTCACATTTCTTGCTTGCTTGCTTTTTTTGGGGTGGGGACAGAGTGTTGCTCTGTCACCCAGGCTCGAGTGTGGGGTGGTGTGATCTCTGCTCACTGCAACCTCCTATTCCCAGGCTCCAGTGATCCTTCTGCCTCAGCTGGGACTACAGGTATGCACCACCATACTGGCTAAGTTTTATATTTTTTGTTGAGATGAAGTTTCACTGTGTTGTCCAGGCTGGTCTTGAACTCCTGGGCTTAAGTGATCCACCTACTTCAGCCTTCCAAAGTGCTGGGATTACAGGCAGGAGCCACTGTGTCCAGCTTACATTTTTTGTATAATCAACATTAGCCAGAGTAACCACACTTTAGATCTGTTGGTCTTCAGGAAAAGCAATATGTGTCTGGATGTGGTGGCTCACACCTGTAATCCCAACACTTTGGGAGGCCGAGGTCGGAGGATCACCTGAGGTCAGGAGTTTGAAACCAGCCTGGCCAACATGGTGGAACTCCATCTCTACTAAAAAAAAAATACAAAAATTAGCCGGATGTGGTGGTGCACACCTGTAATCCCAGCTACTTGGGAGGCTGAGACAGGAAAATCACTTAAAACCCAGGAGGCGGAGGTTACAGTTAGCTGAGATTGCGCCACTGCAGTCCAGCCTGGGTGACAGAGTGAGACTCTGTCTCAAAAAAAAAGCGAAGTTACATGCAATAAAATCACACAGAAAAATTATTTTTAATAAAAAATTAAAACAATTGACAGATATCAGTTATATGATTTATTGTTCCAACTGTTATATGTGTATTTCTGAGTGCCCTTTGGCTTCTTGCCCGGTGGTACTTGAAGTCATAGGATAAACATGGCATATTTTCCTTAAGTGTCAATATTACTCAACAAATATAGGTTAAAAAAGCATTCTATCTGATGTAAAAAAAAATTTTCAAATAACTTAAGCAAATATTACTATATAGTGGAGTAGATTAGAGATTTGCCATGATTTTTTTTTTAAGGGTGGTGGGGGGTGTAGGGAGAGATGAAAGTCGGAGAGTGAGAGATTGGAGGGAGGGAGCAGGGGGAGGGGAGAAGATGGTGGGGGTGAGATGGGTGGCTACTGCCGCCATGATTTTTCAGTATAAAAATATGACATGGTGATTGTTTTTTATTCTTGGTCGTTGATTAGTTGGAGAAATTTAGAAAGCTGTTAAGTAGAGGATAGGAGAATGAGACATTGAAAACCCTTTGTGTTGCTTTATTAGGCATTTTCCTCTGAGGCAGAAGAGAAAACAATTAGTTCCTTATTTCTCATTGACTAAAAAGGAAACATGAGTTTGTCTAGGGGAGCAACATATTTTTCATGATCCAGAATTTTTTTTTAAATTTTCTTGCCTTTTTTTTTTTTTAATTAAGTTTTAGGGTACATGTTCACCACGTGCAGGTTTGTTACGTATATATACATGTGCCATGTTGGTGTGCTGCACCCATTAACTCGTCATTTAACATTAGGTATATCTCCTAATCCTATCCCTCCCACCTGCCCCCCAAAATTTTCTTTTTTTTATGAGATGGGGTCTCGCGTTGTTGCCCAGGCTGGTGTCGAACTCCTGGGCTCAAGCAGTTCTCCTGCTTCGGCCTCCCAAAGTGCTGGGTTTACAGGCATGAGCCACTGTGCCCAGCCAGATTCAGAATTTTAAGAAGAATTTTGCGCATGTGTAAGGTGTCTTGTCAAACAACTTGACTGAACATTTTAATTTAGATTTTGCAGAATTTGCAGGTGTAACTTTTTTTCTTTCCATTTCTTATTGACCTCTAGTAGTAAAGTATTCCATGTGAGGTGGCCATGCTAATTTAGTTCATGTCCTATTGCTTTCTGGCTGTCCAGCAAAAATAGTATAGGAGACAATATATCTGCTTGTATGTCACAAGTCATAGTTATTAACCATATATTCAAGAATGAACACTGACAAGTGCTGGAAAAACAGTTATTCTCTGGAAAGAACCTATTTAATAGAGGACAGCTGCTTCAGGGGAACATCTTTGGAAATTAGCCTGGCTGAGTACATTTTCTCAAAAGAAAGAACTCTGCATTTCCTTAAATTTTTTAAAAGGTTCGTACTTTGGATTCTAGACCTCAGTGCCAAAGAATGAGCCCAGCAGAGCTGTTTAACTTCACAGCTACTAGCTTTACTATTGAAATTTTAATTTCTCTGAAAAGAACCAACTAGGTGGGCCATGTAAACATTACAGATAATCTGTCAGCTTCCTATATGGCTGAATCCTTCACCTTTTGTTTCCCAGTATTACTGATTATGCTTTCTGGTTTCTCCCTCTCTGCCCACCGAAGTCTCACTCTTGTCGCCCAGGCTGGAGTGCAATGGTGTAATCTCGGCTCACTGCAACCTCCGCCTCCTGGGTTCAAGCGATTCTCCTGCCTCAACCTCTTGAGTAGCTGGGAGTACAGGCACCCGCCACCACGCCTGGCTAATTTTTTGTATTTTTAGTAAAGATGGGTTTCGCCATGTTGGCTAGGCTGGTCTCAAACTCTGGACCTCAGGTGGTCCACCCGCCTCGGCCTCCCAAAGTGTTGGGGTTATAGGTGTGAGCCACCGCACCCGGCCATCTGGTTTCTGAAGTATAAGAAAAAAACAGGAAATCAGAAAATCGTGTATAGTTGATATTCCAGAGATAGAGCTTTAGATGAAACTTGCCAGTCTGTGGAGTGGTCTTTCTAACCTGATCATCTACCATGATCAGGTTTTGTTTTTTTTTTTTTTTTTTCTTGAGACAGAGTCTCACTCTGTCGCCCAGGCTGGAGTGCAGTGGCGCGATCTCAGCTCACTGCAAGCTCCGCCTCCCGGGTTCACGCCATTCTCCTGCCTCAGCCTCCCGAGTAGCTGGGACTACAGGTGCCCGCCACCACGCCTGGCTAATTTTTTTTGTATTTTTGGTAGAGACGGGGTTTCACTGTGTTAGCCAGGATGGTCTCGATCTCCTGACCTTGTGATCTGCCTGCCTCGGCCTCCCAAAGTGCTGGGATTATAGGTGTGAGCCACTGCATCCGGCCTAGGTTTTTTGTTGTTGTTGTTATTGTTTTTTTTTTAAATATTAGCAATCAGTTAAGATTTTTGGGTTAATAAACTTTTCTTCTAAAAATGTGAATTAGTTAATTCCAAATGCTTTATCTCTAATAGTAAAATAGCCATATTGATATTTAAATTTTGGTTTACAGTGGAAACAATAATCAATTTAGGGTCTATAAGGATTTTTTTTGTCTTTTGAGACGGAGTCTTGCTCTGTCGCCCAGGCTGGAGTGCAGTGGCGTGATATTGGCTCACTGCAATCTCTGCCTCCCGGGTTCAAGCCATTCTCCTGCCTCGGCCTCCCAAGTAGCTGGGACCATGCCCGGCTAATTTTTTGTGTTTTTAGTAGAGACGGGGTTTCACCATGTTAGCCAGGATGGTCTCCATCTCCTGACTTAGTGAGCCGCTGCACGCGGCTGGGGAATTTTTGTATTTTTTTAGTAGAGACGGGGTTTCACCATGTTGGTCAGGCTGGTCTCGAACTCCTGACCTTGTGATCCGCCCGCCTCAGCCTCCCAAAATGCTGGGATTACAGGAGCGAGGTGTGTGTGTGTGTGTGTGTGTGTGTGTGTGTCTGTGTGTGTGTGTGTGTTTTTGATGGGGGTGGAGACAGAGTCTCGCTCTGTCTCCCAGGCTGGAATGGAGCAGCATGATCTCTGCTCACTGCAGTCTCCACCTCCTGGGTTCAAGCAATTCTCTTGCCTCAGCCTCCTGAATAGCTGAGATTACAGGCACATGTCACCATGCCCAGCTAATTTTTTGTATTTTTGGTAGATGGGGTTTCACCATGCTGGCCAGGCAGGTCTCGAACTCCTGACCTCGTCATCTGCCCACCTTGGCCTCCCAAAGCGCTGGGTTGCAGGCGTGAGCCACCGAGCCCTGCCAAGTGGTTAGTTTTGTAATAACATGTAATGCCTTATATTTAAGTTATCTGTGTCATAACCCATCTGTTACTCTGTAGTGATACAGCTTGAGGAGAAGAGAGCGTTTTTCAATTTGGATTTTATTCCGTCTAAGTGCAGCATCTTTCTCACAGTATGCTCTTAAGAATTTGTTGATGGGTGTGGTCGTCACGCCTGTAATCCCAGCACTTTGGGAGGCTGAGGCGGGCGGATCATGAGGTCAGGAGATCGAGACCATCCTGGCTAACACGGTGAAACCCCCATCTCTACTAAAAATACAAAAAAATTAGTCGGGTGTGGTGGCGGGAGCCTGTGGTCCCAGCTACTCAGGAGGCTAAGGCAGGAGAATGGTGTGAAACTGGGAGGCCAGAGCTTGCAGTGAGCTGAGATCACGCCACTGCATTCCAGCCTGGGCAACAGAGCAAGACTCCGCCTCAAAAAAAAAAAAAGAATTTGTTGAGCAAATTAATTTAAGAAATAAAATGTTTGTTGAATACGTATCCATTGGAGACAGCTTTCAGAATGCTTGTGGTCAACTTATAAAGTTACTGCTAAGTTACATTGTTAAGGAGGCACAAGGCATGAAACTCACCTTGAATAGAGTTGCAGGAATTATGACCAAGAGCCAGGCATGTATGCACATGAGCATGGTTCTTGTATGTATCTGAAAATGTGCACGGTATATGTTTACCAAGTAAGTCGTTAAAAACTTTGGGGCATGCACAACTATTGTAGCACAACTATTGTAGCACATTAGAAGCCAACAATTTTCCCCACATAGAGGGAATAATCTAGACTTCTTAGAAAATAATAATTATTATTATTGAGATGGAGTTTCGCTCTTTTGCCCAGGCTGGAGTGCAGTGGCGTAATCTCTGCTCACTGCAACCACTGCCTTCCGGTTTTAAGCGATTCTCCTGCCTCAGCCTCCCGAGGAGCTGGAATTATAGGCATGCACCACCGCACTCGGCTAATTTTTGTATTTTTAGTAGAGTGGGGTTTCACCATGTTGGCCAGGCTGGTCTTGAACTCCTGACCTCATGATCCGCCCCCGCCTCGGCCTCCCATAGTGCTGGGATTACAGGAGTGAGCCACTGCGCCTGGCCAGAAAATTATTGATAAAGACCTACAAATACTTACTTTGATTCCTTGTTAGGGTTGTAAGTGTATGGTTTCTATAAGTGGTATGTATTCCTGCATTATAAGCACTCGTAGAAAGCAAATAGGAAATAAGCCATCATTACAGCCCCTAAACTCCCGATTCTTGCAGTTTGGTATATTTAGCAATCTGATGTTTTTGTTTGTTTGTTTAATCTACATACAATTTTGCTTTTTCTGAGTGGTAGCTATCACAATTAACTTAAAATTGTATTTTGCCTTTACTACGTAAC